>NC_000013.11:114196501-114354328 GCF_000001405.40 Homo sapiens | reverse complement strand
CTAACCCTAACCCTAACCCTAACCCTAACCCTAACCCTAACCCTAACCCTAACCCTAACCCTAACCCTAACCCTAACCCTAACCCTAACCCTAACCCTAACCCTAACCCTAACCCTAACCCTAACCCTAACCCTAACCCTAACCCTAACCCTAACCCTAACCCCTAACCCCTAACCCTAACCCTAAACCCTAACCCTAACCCCTAACCCTAACCCTATACCTAACCCTAACCCTAACCTCAAACCTAAACCTTAACCTAACCCAAACCCAAACCCTAAACCCTAACCCTTCCTAACCCCTAACCCTAAACCCTAACCCGAACCCGAACCCGAACCCGAACCCCGAACCCCGAACCCGAACCCGAACCCGAACCTGAACCCTAACCCTCCATGAGTAATATGCCTGTTATATTTAGGGTGTCATGTATGTATTAGGAATGCTGCATTTGAGTTCTGACGCTGCACTTGAACCCTGCAATACAGCCCCTCGCCTTGCCTTGGGAGAATCTCGGTGCGCAGGATTCAGAGAGGCTTTTCGTTTCCCGCTTTCCACACTAAACCGTTCTAACTGGTCTCTGACCTTGATTATTCAGGGCAGCAAACGGGAAAGATTTTATTCACTGTCGATGCGGCCCCGAGTTATCCCAAAGGCAGGCAGTACCCCCAACGTCTGTGCTGAGAAGAATGCTGCTCCGCCTTTACGGTGCCCCCCAGGTCTGTGCTGAACAGAACGCAGCTCCGCCCTCGCAGTGCCCTCAGCCCGCCCGCCCGGGTCTGACGTGAGAAGAACTCTGCTCCGCCTTCGCAATACCCCCGAAGTCTGTGCAGAGGAGAACGCAGCTCCGCCCTCGCGATGCTCTCCGGGTGTGTGCTAAAGAGAACGCAACTCCGCCCTCGCAAAGGCGGCGCGCCGGCGCAGGCGCAGAGAGGCGCGGCGCGCCGGCGCAGGCGCAGAGAGGCGCGGCGCGCCGGCGCAGGCGCAGAGAGGCGCGGCGCGCCGGCGCAGGCGCAGAGAGGCGCGGCGCGCCGGCGCAGGCGCAGAGAGGCGCGGCGCAGGGCGTAGACGCACGCCGGCGCCTCCCCGGAGGGGAGGGGTCGCTGGGCGGCCGGAGTGAGGCGCGGCGCAGGCGCAGAGACGCACGTCGCTGGGCTGAGGGTGGCGGGGAGTGTTGCAGTCGCACAGTCGCGCGCCGCCGGGCGGGGAGCGCGGGGGTGGTGCGGTGCACGCGCAGAGACACACGTCCCCGGCGGCGCGGCGCAGAGACCAGTGGAACCTGAGTATTCTGAAAAGCCCGTTTCGGGCGCCCCCTGCTTGCAGCCGGGCACTGCAGGACCAGCTTGCCCACGGTGCTCTGCCATTTCGCCCCCTACTGGCGAGTAGGACAACTGCAGGGCCCTCTTGCTTACAGTGGTGTCCAGCGCCCCGTGCTGGCGCCGGGGCACGGCAGGGCTCTCTTGCTCGCAGTATAGTGGTGGCACGCCGCCTGCTGGCAGCTAGGGACATTGCAGGGCCCTCTTCCTCACATTATAGTGGCAGCACACCCGCCTGCTGGCAGCTGGGCACACTGCCGGGCCCTCTTGCTGCCATTGTCGTGGCTGCACGCCACATGCAGGCAGATGGGGACTACGGAGGGCCCTCTTGCTCCCGGTGTAACGGCTGGCGTCCCCTACTGGCCGCCTCCTGCACCACTGAAAGTCAGAGCGCCAGTTATTAATCCCCATCAGTTCTGCAAATTAAAACTGAAAAGGAGCTATTACTGCGGAGAGCTGATGTCCCAGTTATTAACTTGGAAGACAGCTTTTCACCAAGAGGCAGTACAAAGATGGAAGATAACTTCATTGAAAAGAAATACAGTGTAAAGAGCTTATTGTACAAAAATAGGGAGGAGTAGGCTGATAGTGCATGAAAACAGCCTAAGAGTCCTGTGCAGGGATTTTTATTTTGGACTTCTTCACATTCCTGCCTCTGTCTCAAGTCTCCGCCTGTTTTCTTTGGTTTTCCTGCTACTGCCTTAGGTCCCCGACTTGCCCCACTTAGCCTTGTGGGACCTCCTCACTGTTGATTGAGGTACATGTGTGGTGATCAATCCGAATCCACTCTGGCACCAGCCTCCTTCCCGCCATACCAGGCAGGCTGACAGCGGTCACGTTTGTATCTACTGCAGCTGCCTCTTTTGAATGTCTTTCTCTGCCCTAATCTGTACTTATGGTGCCAGGTTTCTCTTAAGAATGTCCCCTTTCTCCTTCTTATCAGCATGTAGCTAGCAATATTCTGACATTTTTATTGCAGAGTGAATGATGATTGGGGCATCTCAAGAGAAGTTCTAGGGTGTTTCTGCGTAGGTACCTCTTCTCCCTCCTAACCACAATTGACAAGTGCCCATCCACTCCAGCACTAGAGATGCTACTAATATATGCATTTTTGGTGGTCCCTCCACGTGAGCCTTCACAGACTTTCCCTTTTCCAGGAGCTCCCCCTCCTGTTCATGTCTAGCTATCTACTCTAACAGAGCCCACTATCCTGTGTCTTTCCCAAAAATAGTGAGGGAATGATTAATTGGAAACCATAAGAAATGATATGCATGTAGATGAAAACTTTACAACTTACACAAATAATCACTCAAAATCATCCTTAGATTAAAAATGCAAAACTATACAATTTCTAGAAGAAACTATAGAGGAAAAGCTATGTGCCTTTGCGTTTGGCAATGAATTTTAACAAATGACACAGAAGGTTGATATACACAGAAGAAATGACAATGTGGATTTCTTAATATTTACAGTTTATACTCTGGAAGAGACCTTGTTAAGAGAACAAAAAGACAAGCCACATATTGAAGAAAATATTTGCAAAATACAGATCTGAGAATTTGTATTCAAAATATATAAAAAAGTGTTAAAACTAAACAATAAGTTAAACAGCCCAATTAAAAACACACAGATCTAAACAGACACCTCACCAAAGAAGATCTACAGATGGCAAGTACACTTACAAAAAGATGCTCAACATACTAGAGAACTGAAAACCACAAAAAGATAGCACAGCTGGTCTGTATCTCTTAGAACTGCTAAACTCTTTAACAAATGACAAATTGCTGGAGGAAAAACAAGAACTCTTTTCATTGCCGGTGGAACACAGTGTATAAGACCAAAATATGCCACCCCAAAATATAATGGTAGGAAACCAGAATATGAAACCCCAAAATATGTCCCTTTGGCTTAACAATTATTCCAAGCTAATTATTTTGAAAAAAAAAATGCTAACAAAGGAAGTTGTGAAAACAGAGTAGAAGTTACACTTGTGTAAGGAAAATTTACATCTATAAAGGAAATCACCATTTAAAAGCTACCTCTCTCGACACCAAGAAGGATAACTAAATCACTAAAGACTCTTATCAATGGAGAATGCATGGACTTAAGTCTGTATAACGAACCTTACCCTTGTCTAATGTGCTTTTGCTGGCTAACTCCCCACTCACCACTGCACCTCAAATCTTCTTTCTTTAAGTTGAAGATAGTATTTATGCTTTAATTGAAAGCCACCTGTTGGAGATTTACTCATTTTTCCTTGAGTATCTCCCATGTATCCATAAGGTATACATGTTTTTAAACTTTTCTGTTTTTCTCATTTTAATCTGTCAGTTTTTACAGCGGGTCCCATCTAAGAATTCCAAAAACATAGAAAATTTTTTTCCTCCCCATTAAAATTTCGGCAGTTTTTTCTAAAGCTAAACAAGTCTCACCTTACAATCCAAAAATCACATTCCTAAGTATTTTGACAACTACTTTGATGTTATTTCCAAACAAAAGCTACCATGCAATTATTTACAGAAGCCCTATTCAGAATGACTAAAGGAAAAAAAAGGAATCAGAAAGTCTTACAATAGACGACTGTGTGGGACTCCACTCAGACATCAAAAGTTGTTATAAAGATTATTTAAGTGAAAACACTTGAGATACTGAAGATAAAGGAAGAAATCTTACCAGAACTTACTTTATCCAATTAAAGCAGAACTCCCAGAAAAATACAACTGCCATTAACCCCATCCAAGGAGTTTCTTGCAAATTCAGCTGCCATAGACACAGCGTACTCTTTCCCATTAGCATTGATAAATGAAAATAAAATCCTAAGCTCCCAACTGACTGAACAGACCCACTCTTGGCTGAGGGGACCCCAGAGTAACTTTCAAAACTGAGTTCTCAGCTTTGCTAGGATGGGATGATGGAGGTCAGATACACATCGTTATACCCCTTCCTTTGCTAACCTTGATGAGGCTTTCTTCCCTAAGGATTTAACAGAAACCAGCCCTTTCAAAGGCTCTACCACTGATATCAACCTCTCCTTTCTTGCCTGATAAGAGACCACCCACAATGGAGAGGTTCTGGCCAGTGTACAGAGGATGCACAGAGCGAGTTTTCATGTCCTCTGCTTCACCTTTTAATGTCAGATAGCTGAAAACTCCACCCTGGGATCATGATAACACTGCCATTTTTTGTACATGGGACCCATGAAGAAGCAAGAAACTCAATTGCACATGCATGCATTTCTCCTTCCATAAATATTCATGACTCCTCCTAGAGCTTATTAAATAAATGCATTTGGCCATTCCAATCAGCATAAATTACTATTTCCTTTACCTCCTCCTTGAAGCATCTGTTTCTGGCTTCTGGCTGGAGGCTGTGCTTCCCAGCCTGTCAGAAGGACAACCCTTCAGGCTGCAACCCTTTATAAGAAATAAATCTCTCATTGGGTGTGGTGGCTCATGCCTGTAAACCCAGCACTTTGGGAGGCCAAGGCAGGTGGATCACCTGAGGTCAGGAGTTTCAGACCAGCCTGGCCAACATGATGACACCCTGTCTCTACTAAAAATACAAAAAAAAATTATCCAGGTGTGGTGGTGGGTATCTGTAATCCCAGCTAATCAGGAGGCTGAGGCAGGAGAATCGCTTGAACCCAGGAGGTGGAGGTTGCAGTGAACCAAGATCACACCATTGCACTCCAGCCTGGGCAACAAGAGTGAAACTCTGTCTCAAAAAATAAAAATAAAAATAAACATAAAAATGAAGAAATGTCTCCTTTCCAAATTTATGAACCTCATCGTTCTTCCACTGATAGCATTAAAAGGTTCAAAAAGATCTTTCCATACTCTCCCACAGAAGCCCTAGAAATTGTCATTTTGTTCATCATTCTGGATGCCTGAGAACTTGTAATCCAATGAGTAGAAAGTTTGGTACCCCATTTATGGCTGTCAACCTGCCAGTTCTCAGGAGTTTGTATAAAAGCCTAAATCCGAAAGGATCTCATCCCATTAGGACCCTTGTCTCCTTTTCTGTTGCCTTTGCCCACTGGCTCTGGCAACAGGGGTCTTTCTTTCTCCTTGGCTATCTTTGGATATGGGGGCTCCGTCTTCTGTGCCACCTTAGGGAATGCCTTTTGCAGGCATGGCTAAGTCATTAAAAAGCCTACAGTTTCAGTAACATTTTGAGTGAGCACTCTCTGAAGCTGCGTTGGAATCTCAGGCTTCTTTGTCTGGAAGATAACTCTTGGGCTACAAGTTTCTTATCCTAGCTTTGGTTTTGAGGCCTCTCTGTTCTCTTCTTGGGTCGGAAGTTATTCCTGGCTTTTTGTTTCAAGGTGTCTCTGTGATCTTGAACTTGCTCCTTTCATGGGAACTTCTCAGTTGACTAAATTCTCCCTTCTCAAACCTCTGCTGACTATGTGTTCCAACAATATGGAACTAATTCTACTTCCTTTCCTGTTTGCATGATTTTACTAAGAATTATTTAGAAATTTAATCGCTCTTTTGAGAAAATTTTTATCTTCCAAATTGCCTCCTTTTAGACTTTTCCTTTCCCAGTTGAGTATCTCAACTCCCTGTAATCACTGAAACTTTAGGCACCCCACTCCATGCCTTGGAGTGCTCTCCATGCTCTCAATGTGCTCAAGAATCTGCAAAAGCAAACACCTGGGGCTGAAAAATAAAATAGAAAAAAAAATATTTCTCATCCTCCATAAGATTGTATGTCCAAACAAAAGAAAATCTTAAAAATCTCCAAAAATATTGGTGAGACAAAAGCTTTGGCGCTCATATGAAGAAGATAAAAACTTGTTCCATTTTCCAGATACACAGTTATAATACAAATATAAAATTGGGCAAAGACAAAAACCAAGTCTTCTACATAAACTAGTGAATTTAGTATTATTGTAATAACATTAGTCAGGGTTCTCCAGAAAGGCAGAATCAATAGGATATATGTAGATAGATAGATGAGAGAAGACTCATTAGGGGAATTGGTTCACATAATTATGGAGGCTGAGAAGTTACACAATAGCCTGTCTCCAAGTTCGAGAACCAGGAAAGCTGGCAGCATGGCTCACTCCAGATATAAAGGACTCAGAATCAGGGAAGCCAATGGTGTAACTCTGATTGTGAGGCCAAAGGTCTGAGACCCCGAAGTTCTGATGTCAAGGGCAGGAGAAGAAGGATGTTTCCGTTTCAGAAGGAGATAATTCACCTTTCCTCTTCCTTTTTGTTCTATCTGGGCTCTCAACCAATTGGATGGTGCCTGTATTCATCCATTTTTATACAGCTATGAAGAAATACCTGAGTCTGAGCAATTTATAAAGAACAAAGAGGTTTAATGGGCTGACAGTTCCACATGGCTGCAGGGGCCTCACAATCATGGCAGAAGGGGAAGCAAATCTATCCCTCTTCACAAGGCAGCAACAAGGAGAAGTGCTGAGCCAAAGGGGAAAAGCCCCTTATAAAACCATGAGATCGTGAGAACTCACTCACTGTCATGAGAACAGCATGGCAGTAACCACCACCATGATTCAATCACCTCCCACCGGGTCCCTCCCACGACATTTAGGGATTATAGGAACTACAATTCAAGATGAGATCTGGGTGGGGAAACAGGCAAACCATATCAGTTCCCATCTACACTGGGTCATGGTTATCTCAGTGTCTTCCAGAAACACCCTCACAGATATGCCCAGAAATTGTGTTTGACCAGCTATGTGTGTCTCTTAATCCAATCAAGTAGATGTCTAAACTTAACCATCAGAATATTTATGCCTGATTCATGGCTGAAATTGTGTTTGACCAGCTATGTGTGTCTCTTAGTCCAGTCAAGTAGATGTCTAAAATTAACCATCAGAATATTTATGCCTGATTCATGGCTGAAATTTCAGGATGAAAGCTATGAAATCTCTATTTGTGTTTGTATATCTATTAATGTATGTAACATATATGTGATATTTTCTTAACTCCGGATAGCATTGCAAAATTCATTTATGAAATCCTCTAAAAGTGCTCTATTCTAACTTGGCTTGGAAAAAAATAAGCATTTATAAGTAAATATTCACCAAACTCCTAGAAATATAGGAACTGATCAAATGTTTTTTAAGTTAACACGATTTGGATAAAACTTAGTTAAATAAGATTAATATAATATTTTTGGTGTAATAAAACAACTGTCTTCAAAATTATCACTATTGAATATAAAACAAACATAAATTCCTATTCTGCTTGAGTTCTAGTCAAATAAGCTAATATTATACTTACTAAAAACGTAAAATCTTAAAGCTTATAGATTTGGTTCTAATTAATTTGTCATTCTTATGAAAAACATCATTTTTTTATGGTGAAAAGATACACATATATTTAGAGTTAGCCAGCTGGACTCAGTTTAGATGATCCCAATTTTGTTGCAACATCCAAAGCATCATAATCAGGAGCCAGTCGAACATATGCCTTCTTCTCTTTATCAGGACAAATCAGGGTGGTGACCTTGGCCACATCACTGTCATAGAGCTTCTTCACAGCCTGTCTGATCTGGTGCTTCTTGGCTTTAACATCCACAGTGAACACAAGCGTGTTGTTTTCTTCTGTCTTCTTCACGGCCGACTCAGCGGTCAGCGGAAACTTGATGATAGCATAGTGGCCAAGCTTGTTTCTCCTGGGGGTGCTCTTCTGAGGATATCTGGGCTGCCTCTGGAGTCGCAGTGTCTTGGGCCGCCTGAAGGTGGGTGACATGCGGATCTTCTTTTTGCATGTGGTTATGGACACCTTTCAACACTGCCTTCTTGACCTTCAAAACCTTCGCTTTGGCTTCAGCTTTAGGACGGGCAGGAGCTTCCTTCTTCACTTTCGATGCCATCTTGTGAAAAGCGAAAAACATTATTTCAAAAATAATTTGTTTACAGTAAATCTGCCTAAGAATAGTTTCCAAAGTACTTTTGGTAATTTTTAACCTTAAAGTTAAGCTAAGTAAAAGATTTGCATTAAATATCTAGACCATTTATAAATAAGATACAATACTAAAACATTTATTACTGAGCATAAATGATTCAAGTTTATATAATTTTGCCTTGCTACTTTTACAGAGAGACTAAAGATATTTTGGCCCATTAATAAACGTCTTTTTTTCTGCCACACTGAGAAATTGTACTATGAGGAAACACATCCCTCTAGATGTTGGGAGATGGTATATTCATACATTTTCTAACCTACTATAGAATGGTAATATATGACAGTTTATAACTCTCTACTTCCTAGTTTTCTCTGTAAAATAAAAGATTACTAAGTGTTAAAATTATAATCAATATATGTAAAGAAAACTACTAGAAATAATAGAATAACTAGAAACAACTCTACGCAAAGCATGCAAGAAAAGTAGGGCATGTTTTGCA
Organism: Homo sapiens; assembly: GCF_000001405.40. Lineage (NCBI taxonomy): Eukaryota > Metazoa > Chordata > Mammalia > Primates > Hominidae > Homo > Homo sapiens. Next base: position 114,345,634 of record NC_000013.11, on the reverse strand, counting down.
AGTAAAGTAGGATGTATTTTTTATAAGGAAAACCATACTTAAGATACAAATAAAAAGAGATACCTAACCATCCCTGTATTATATTTGTATGGGTACAATGTTATGTTTTCAGAAATTATATAAAATTCCTGGAAATTTGTCAATGTCTTCCTTATCCATGCTATGTGCCAGTATAGAGTAATGAGTCATAATTCCAATTATTATTTTAAATGTTGTGCCAGGCGCAGTGGCTCACGCCTGTAATCCCAGCACTTTGGGAGGCTGAGGCGGGTGGATCACAAGGTCAGGACATCCAGACCATCCTGGCTAACCTGGTGAATCCCCGTCTGTACTAAAAATACAAAAAATTAGCCAGGCGTGGTGGCAGGTGCCTGTAGCCCCAGGTACTCGGGAGGCTGAGGCAGGAGAATGGCGTGAACCCGGGAGATGGAGCTTGCAGTGAGCCAAGATCACGCCACTGCACCCAAGCCTGGGCGACAGAGTGAGACTCTGTCTCTAAATAAGTAAATAAATGTTGTATGCCACACAGAAAATTGAATATCCTTGTCAGCTGTGGTATAATGAACTCTCATCAGATCTTTCATCACAGCCATTTCATACTCTTTGTCATTTAGATATTATTTCCCCTGATGCTTTCCTGAAAGCTCCTGCAATCAGCTACAAGTCAGAATGTTCGTCTCCAACACAGGACTCCCTCTGAGACTCACGGAAAAGACTATGACAGGTACTCTGGTTATAGGCTTCTGATGATATTGCTTAAATAACTTTAAGACCATACACTTGACTCAGTGAAGGTCTCCAGAAGTCTGGTTGAGAAACTGATGGGTTCATGACACTGCTAACCCAAGATCCAAAAAGACTGGAATTGATTACATGGCACTGAATGAACTGATGAAAATTGATTGTAACTTTATAGCTTTTTGGAGCATTACTGGTTCTTTAATGTTCTAGTTTCTGGATTTAAGAAATCTCTTTCTCTTAATCTAACTGTAACTTACAACAATTTAGTAGATTATACTTTTATAAATAGAAATGAGGCATTTATCTTTTTTTCCCTGCCTGATTTTTCCAGAATTTTGAAATCCTTACTGAATACTCATATTTTCACGATGATATAGTTGTTAGCAAAAGTCCAATAAGAATCTGTTCACCTTATAACGGACATAATTGGAAATTTTGGTTATATTATCAAGGTTTTTACTGGAATATCATATTTAGGAAGTGTACCTAAGATCATTTATGACCAGCAATTTTAAGGAAGTAAGGTTGACTTTTATGGAAACAATGCTTACAAAGCACTGTGAGAAATGGGAAAGTTCTTCTTCAAAGATTATAAAGTCACAATTTCTTACTATAAGATTGCTATCCACTATTTATGTGTGTGTGTGTGTGTGTGTGTGTGTATTCCAAATCACTTGTCCTAGCTTGCTCCAGCATGCCTGGACAGAACTAGACAAGCCCCAGCCCATAGTGCATGCCATTCCTTATTTGGAGATCCTTCCTTAACTATCCCTGGGCAACTTCCTTTTCTTTCTTTCTTCTATTCCCCTTACCTAATTAAGAAAGTTTTAAACTAACAGCCAATCGGGTAAAGTGTAAAATGTGAGGTCCTATTCCAGCCAATGGAAACTGGACACAGCACTAGGGTAGACACATCAGATTATAAGTAACTCTGTCTCCTTTGTTTGGTGTGCTCTTGTGGCTGGACAGCTATTGAGTAGCACCCTTTCTGCAGAAAGTAAAGCTTGCCTTGCTAAGAGATCATTTGTTCCCACATTAATTCTTTTTTATTTTGGAACACCAAAAACTTCATTCCCAACAGCACTCTGAGAAAAGCCAGCCTGATACCTAGATTACAGGGTTCACAGCCTTACAGGTTAGTAAGGAAGGTCATTTCCTGGTAGGCCCAGGAATTTAGGGATATTTGGGGGCCTCAAGAAGAGAGGAATTCACACAAAGCTATAAGGACTGCAGCTGAAATATGATAGTAAGTTCTTAGCTTGGCTTTTAGCCTGAATAAGGCCTTTAAAAGTCAAATCTGAGATTCTGTATGAAAACTTCCAGCAAAGAAGCTTGAAAGCACCTACGTGGTCATCTCCTGTTCTTGATGCACTTACGTAAATAATCAAGCAAAATCTAATAAAACTAGACTTATTTTTGAAACAAGAATAGTCTTACTTTGATTATGATCAAAAATGATGGTTACTACAGAGAGAAATTTTATGTTTCAATGGAAAACTATAACATGGCTGGTCATGGCAGCACACACCTATAATTCCAGCACTTTGGGAGGCCAGGAGTTCAAGACCAGCCTGGGCAACGTGGTGAAACCCCGTCTCTACCAAAAGTACAAAAATTAGATGGGCATGGTGGCATGTGCCTGTAGTCCCAGCTAATCAGGAGGCTGAGGAGGGAGGATCGTTTGCACCCAGGAGGTAGAGGTTGCAGTGAGCTGAGATTGCACCTTGCACTCCAGCCTGGGTGACAGAGCCAGACCCTGTCTCAAAAAAAATTTTTTTAAAGGAAAACTATAGCCATTGTGAGTTATCTGATTCTAGTCTTGTTTCTTGTTTCTGGGCTATTTTTACCTCTTTGTAAACTGGATCCTGCCATCTGCTGAATTTTGTCCCGCAATGATACTTGTGGAACAAGAAGCCAAGTATTGTCTCTTCTACTAATGTATCTATTGTCAGTTAATTTGAAGGTCTCCAATCCTGGAACAAAGTTAGAAGAGGAAGGTTTTGCTCCCCAAAATGCATAACCAAATTGTGGTACATTCATATAATGGAATACTATTTAGCCATAGAAAGGAACAAGCTATCAACTCACACAAAGACATGAGTGAATCTTGCATGCACATTGCTAAGTGGAAGAAAACAGTCTGAGAATACACACAGTGTGACCTCATTTAATGAGACACTGGAGAAGGCAAACTACACAGATGGGAAGCCCATGGATTGTCAGCTTCCCAGATGTGTGAGAATCTCTCCTCCCTTCCCAACATTCTCATGCTCTCCCTCTGCCTCTAGAGAATTTCCTGTCCCATCTCTCATGACAAATCCCTTCTTCATTCTTTATGATGCAGCCCCTTCTGCATCTCCTAGAGCCATCCTCAGCTAAATTTTGTTGTGTGAGTAATGAGAAGAGAGCTGTTATTTGTATTTAGTGAATAATAACAAATAAAAGGCATTTAGCCTTCTGGAACCTGGTATGTAGTAGATCCTCATGAAAAACTAGCTCTGTTGATAAAACTAGACTGAAAGGAGCTTTCAAAGTCAACAACGACATCATGCAGTGAAGGACATAGATGAGAAGCTGCTGCTGCAGCCTGGAGCTCCTGGAGGCCCGTTTTGTCCAGGACTTAGCAGGAATGCACTACCTTTCCATAAGGAGACACTGCCCACAGAAACCAAGGCCATTCTTTGAAGACAAACATGTTTTAATAGCCTTACATTATGTAATGGTGTAATATAAATAATATTATTAAGGTAAAATTATTTACATTATTATGTTACGACTTTTGTACAGAGCTTTACACCTAGATATTCTGAAGTTGGTGGTCTGTGAGTGGCATCAAGTGATGACTGACACACTCTGACCTGGGGTAGAACAACACGTGCCCCTGCAGTTTGCTGAATTTCAGGGCATCACCACCTGATTTCAAGAGTGTGTTTTCCTATCCTCTAGAGTTTTGCCCACTTAAGCAACAGCTTTGCTGCAATACAGAACTCCACAATTTATCAAAATATTAATTTGGAGAATACTGGTTCACCTAGTTCATTTTCAAGTTTTCTTAAACTATCAGGCCCATAGCTAATGCCAGTGGCTCCAAGGATGAGAAGGTAAAAAGCCTTTTTTGTTTTCGTTTTTGGCAAGAGAAAAAAAACACATTTCAAACCTTACTGTCTCATGCTATTCACTGGAAAATCAGAAGTGAACACACTCTCCTCCCAGCCCAATCACAGCTACTAAATAACCAAGATCTCCTGCAGGTGCCTTTGCCTTGGCTTTGTGAGCCTGGAGTTGCTGGCTGACACTGGGCAGCAGGAAGCAGAGCTGGTCCCATTCCTCCGTGCTTTCCCCGTGCTGTGGGGACACAGACACATTGAAAAACCTGGGTCCTGCTCTGGCACTGGCTGGGAAGCTATCTGACGTCAGGCTCATAGTGGACTTCTGAGTTGAAAAGAGAGTATGGGTCACCCAGCCCCACTTACTCATTTTACAAAGAATGAAAATGGGTCTCTATGCCAGACATGAGAGTACACATTGTAAGGCTGTGCAAGCTCGCCGCACTTGTATCCGCTCAGCACACACTTACAGAGTGCCGAGTGTCACCAGCATGAGAGGGGCTCTAGTTCCCGGGGTCCCACCCTCCAAAGAGGACAGCACCACCTCGAGGGACAGAGGTGCAAAGAGCAAGGTGGGGGCCCTTCTGCTGGAGAGGCGGCTAGGGAGGGACCTTACAGGAAGTGACACCTGAGCTCTTCTCTGAAGGATGAAGCTGAATTACTTGGAGCTTAGGGCGAAGGGTTGTCCGGGGAAGTGCAGCCTGTGAGCCAAAAGCACGAGTATAATGACTTGTCCAGAGAAGTGTAACAACTTCCATAGTGTTTCTAGGCCAAATCTGCACAGGAGTCACCACAGGAAAGAGCAGGATCCTGGAGCCAGGGCCTTGGATTTCACCCACTGGCAATGGGAATGTTCACTGGGAATTTTGGGGGGCAAAACATGAAAGTGTTTCCTCTTAAAAATAAATAAATTAAAAATAAATAAAAATAAAAAGGAAAGTGTTTCCTCTTAGCTCCAATTCTCTCTGTCTCTCTCTTTCTGTCCCTCTCTCTCTCCCCTATCTTTAATTTGTGTATTATCATAAGAAAACACAGATGTGTCAGATGTGGGGATTAGCAGCCTGCATCTTTCTGGATGACTTGAGGGGAGCACTGTGGCCTCTGTGAGCTTATTTACAATAATTCACGAATCTTGCAAAAAAAAAAAAAGTCATGGCAGCAGAGGTTAGAAAATCTCCTAGTATTTCTTCTGATACTTTGAATTTATGATTAATATGTTTAATCTTCATCTTCTGAAAAGTCACCAGTTGCACAGTGAGGACCATAAAGGGCTTCTGTTTCTGCGGTTTGTGGCTTCAACAGTCAGTGGTTTTGCAGCAGTAGCACTGCATGTGGGTTTTAGGCTGATGATGCTCAACAGTGGACAATTCTCTTCACCTGCCTGAACCCCAATGCCCACCCTTTCATACGGTGCGGGGTCACAGCTGAGCTCTCCAAGACACCTCACAGGATCTCGGTTTCTGAACTGTCGGGTGTCTTCTAGGTGAAGGCTTCATCTCATAGCCTCTGTGGCTTCCTCCAGGTAACACTTGGTTTTTTGACCTAACCCTGGTATTTGTGTGACATATGTGTGAATGTGCTCCCTGTGGCAGCACTGAGGAAAGACTCAGTCATCATAGATGCCGAAAGGCAAACGCATCTCCAGTCTTGCATTATTTTTACCCATCAGCCCATTTGAAAAAGAAAAAAAAAAGCCTCGTGTTATAATTAAATCCCCTCTAGAGGTAATGGGCATTTTTTAAATCTTTCATTTTTTTTATAGTCACATTTGCGCCCAGTGCCTGCCAGGATCCACTAGAGGGCAGAGACACCCATGTGTATTTGTGTGGCACTTGCTGAGTGGTAATAAAAACAGACACCCTGCCCTCCAGGAGCCAACATCCAGTGCCAGGGCCAGCGGCAGCAAGTAAGAAAACCTTGGTTTCCACATCTGCATCAGCTACACAGTGCTCGCACACAGGAGGCATCAGTCAGTTTTCTCAGTTACAGAGAGAAACAAAACGTGTCCTCACTACTTTTTGAATTTACCATGTTATCCAATGTTTTAACTTAATTGAATGAATAAACTCCTTATGTATCTGGACACATGCATGGAAAATTCACAAACATTTCAAAACAAAATAGAGTGGTTTGCTAAAAGAAAATTTCTTTGATACGTGAATTTCACTTTTTTCTATCTTTTAGTGATTTTAATGTAATGAAATTGAGAAGTCTGTGCCTCTAAAAGACTTTTTAAAGAGCACGGTACTTCTCCATTTTGAAAAAAAATTGGCAAAATATCTTCTACTGTAGATAGAAGTTAATTGGCTGAGGGTAATAAACAGAAGATTAAAAAATGAGCTTTATCCCCTGCTATTCTGTCAAGGGCTACAGTGAATTACACACCCTGGCATGGGTTTGCACGACACGTGCTGGAAGCCAGCAGTCATGCAGGCCATGCTCTCCCACACTTAGAAAAAAAGCCCAGGAGAAAGAGCTCCATCAAGTTCACACACAATGACCTCCAGCAAGATGTGGAAAATGCTCAGTTCCACAAAATACCTGTGGCCAAATACTTTGAGCGCACTGCTCTGGCATCAGGTTCCTGTGACGACAGACCCTGAGATGCATTTCTGGATGGAGGCTGCTGCCAGAGGAGACAATGTGACTACAGGTGGCTCACGCTGCTCCAACACTGCAGGGGCCAGTGACTTGGGGCTCCCACCCGCTGTCCTGTTGGGGAACTGCGGAGATTCACCCCAGCTGGGTGGACTCTGCTGTGTCCCCTGTCAAGAAGCCCCTCAGCTTACCTTGGTTTTTCCTTTTTAAAACTCTCTGGTGTTTTTCTCTCCAGTGGGGGCTGCATCTCACCTTAGAAGAAAAGATTTTCCAACTAGGGGCTGTCTTGGTAGCTGGTACAGAGGAAGGTCTCTCTCTGGAGTGAAGTCCAGCCAACTAACTCCAGCCAGAACTCTCACTGAGTGGGGCTGGATCTGCCCTGTTCTCCTCCCATCCTCGTGTGGACTGTGGAAACCCATCCATGCCCTATGCAAAGTCCAGCATCTTGGACTGTAAAATGGCAAAAGCCGAATTTAAAATAGATGATTATGTTGACTCTATGAGGAAAAGAAAGTTCTGAGGTAGACAATTGGTAAGCAAGCAATTATGTGTAACTTGTTAGAACACTAGGGTGTAGTTTATTCGTCTCACTGATTATTTTCTGTTTAACAGGCTAGCTAAGAGCCAGAGGGAGAGAAGGCTGGCTGGGAATTGAGAGGCATGAGGTCACCTCAGTCCCAACATTTCCATGTAAACAATGATGCGAGGTGGGCTGATGGCAGGAGTCCCTGGAAATTCTCACAATCTCAGCTCTTAACTTCTGTAAAATATTATGTCATTTATGATCTCTTTAACAAATAACTTTTTTCTAGTTAAAAAAAGTGTATAATCTCTTTGGAGGATCTTTGGTAAATATAAAATGAGTTATCAAAGAAAAAAATTATTCATAATTTTATCACTCAAATTTTGATAATTATATTCCTGCATTTTTAACTAAACATAGAAATTTTAGATTATACTGTACATAAAATATTGTATCTGTTTTTCATCCAATATTAGATTATAAACGTTTTACATGGCATAAACTATATATGTAAATCAGCTATTTCCACACCTGCTTGATTTAACCCTCCTTATACTATTAGCCATTTAAATGATTTCTACTTTATCCTATGAATAACACTTCCACCAGTTATTATTCTTGTATATAGCTCATTCAATCACTCATAATCTCGTTGAGCATTTATTTATAATTTAGTTGCCTATTACCTGAGTGGACTGTGGTTATATGTTTATATGCTTATTCCAAATATATTGCTAAGATTAGCATTAGAGACAGGAAAATATTCACGGGTTTTGAAACTAGAAGGACCCAAACAAATCCATGAACCAGCTCTGCATACTCTCACCGAGCCTTAGTTTTCTTACACAGAAAGTGAAGACAATGCTATTTGCCTTGTGGCATCTCTGTGAAGTTAAAGAAGACACCGATTGTACACGCAGCAGTACAAGGACAGTGGAAAGCTGGGCCCTAACCAGCTCTAGGGACAATCACCATTGAATGCCCCATGATCCTACTCTCAGGATGCTTGTATGCCATATGCCATGTCAGTATCACTTACTCAGTGAACACATATTTGTTGATTATAAATTACTTCCGTACTCTTTTCTTTGTTTTACATGTTCAAATATCTGTAAAAAAAAAAAAAAAAGGTACAATTATGAAATTAAAAGTTAACTAAAGGGGGATGTTTTCACTATCTCTGAAATTTAACCCACTAAATCCAGATTATAAAGCAAGGAAATGTCTTACGGCCCAACACTTGCCATCCATATTTTTTCAAAGTTAGTGGGCAGGGCAGGGTAGTGGAAGTGAAGGAATCAGAGCTCTGATGGGTGCACATTGTCTTCCCTACAAATCCATTGCTTGTCTGGCCTTCCTTCCTTATTGGGGCTGCTCTATCCTTTTCGGCACATTTGAACTGCTCCCCTGTGAGCTATTCTCATTTGCTTCACTTCTAAATCTGAATTCCATGGGACCCGCATTTAAGGAGAGGGGAACCACTTTGGGACTGGAGGAAGTTCACCTTATGAGTTATACCTGCCTCCTTCCTCTACAGTGAACGGTCTCTGGTGTCCCTGGGTGTTCAGTTTCTTTACACTCATGTGTTACTGACTGTTCAGGTGGCAAATGGCCCATGACCTTTATGGTATTAAAGAGAAAAAAATAAAAAGCTGTGTTCCTTTTTTTTTTTTTTAACTTTTATTTTAGGTTGGGGGGTATATGGGAGGGTTTGTTATACAGGTAAACACGTGTCACAGGGATTTGTTGTACATGTTATTTCATCATCCAGGTATTAAGCCCAGTGCCCAATAGTTATCTTTTCTGCTCCCCTCCCTCCTCCCACCCTCCCCCCTCAAGTAGACCCCAGTGTCTTTTGTTTCCTTCTTTGTGTTCACAAGTTCTTATCATTTAGCTCCCATTTATAAGTGAGAACATGCTGTATTTGGTTTTCTGTTCCTGCATTAGTTTGCTAAGGATAATATCCTTCAGCTTCATCCATACTAATGCAAAAGACATAATCTTGTTCTTTTTTATGGCTGCATAGTATTCCATGGTGTATATGTAGCACATTTTCTTTATCCAGTCCATGATTGATGGGCATTTGGGTTGATTCTATGTCTTTGCTATTGTGAATAGTGCTGCAATGAATATTTGCATGCATGTATCTTCATGGTAGAATTATTTATATTCATCTGGGTATATATCCAGTAATGGGATTGCTAGGTCGAATGGTAGTTCTGCTTTTAGCTCTTTGAGGAATCACCATACTGCTTTCCACCATGGTTGAATTAACTTACACTCCCACCAACATTGTATAAGTGTTCACTTTTCCCTGTAACCTTGCCAGCATCTGTTGGTTTTTTACTTTTTAGTAATAGGCATTCTAACTGGTGTGAGATGGTGCCTCACTGTGGTTTTGATGAGCATTTCTCTAGTGATCAGTGATCTAGAGCTTTTTTCTATAAGCTTGTTTACCACATTTATCTTTTTTTTTTTTTTTTTTGAGCCGGAGTCTTGCTCTGTCACCCAGGCTAGAGTGCAGTGGCGCGACCTCAGCTAACTGCAAGCTCTGCCTCCTGGGTTCATGCTATTCTCCTGCCTCAGCCTCCCAAGTAGCTGGGACTACAGGCGACCACCACCACACCCGGCTAATTTTTTGTATTTTTAGTAGAGACGGGGTTTCACCATGTTAGCCAGGTTGGTCTCAATCTCCTGATGTCATGATCCACCTGCCTCAGCCTCCCAAAGTGCAGGAATTACAGGCGTAAGCCACCACACCCGGCCCACATGTTTGTCTTCTTTGGAGAAGTGTCTCTTCATGTCCTTGGCCCACTTTTTAATGGGGTTGTCTTTCTCTTGTAAATTTGTTTAAGTTCCTTATAGATGCTGGATATTAGACCTTTGTCAGATGCATAGTTTGTAAATACTTTCTTCCAATCTGTAAGTTGCCTGTTTACTTTGTTGATAGTTTCTTTTGCTGTGTAGAAGCTCTTTAGTTTAATTAGATCCCACTCGTCAATTTTTGCTTTTGTTGATATTGCTTTTGGTGTCTTTGTCACGAAATCTTTGCCTGTTCTTATGTCCAGGATGGTATTGCCTAGGTTGTCTTCCAGGGTTTTTATATTTTTGGGTTTTACACTTAAGTCTTTAATCCATCCTGAGTTCATTTTTGTGTATGGTGTAAGAAAGGGGCCCAGCTCCCAGCACCATTTATTGAACGGGGTCTTTTCCCCATTGCTTGTCAGAAAAGCTGTTTCTAAGGCTTTGCCCAACATACCTTTAACTTTTGACCACATCTTTCCCCCGGTCAATAGGCTCCAGGAAATGGGACAGGATTCTTGGAAATAAAGAGCTGACCCTGAGACAACGCAGGTGAACACAGACTAGCTGCTGCATAATAAGTAAACAAAATGTGTGTCTTTCATTCAATATTAAACAATGATAGACTGAGTATGTAAGAATGTTACCATCACAGGTATGGAAGTGCCTAACTATGACTTAAATTGTAGAGCCTCAGATTTTAGATCTGGAAGAGCCATGGGTTTTAATCCATGCTGGGAGAGGCTCAAGGTTACTCTGGAGAAACATGTAGTTTGGGGGGGCTGGAGACTGAGGGGAGGCTGGAGACTGAGGGGTGGGCTCCCATTCCCCAGCTCCTTCAATGAATCTATTTTATACGTCAGTTATTGGAAAATGATTCAAACAACTCAACCCAATTCCCTATTATTTGGTCAAAGCCCTCAGCCCTCAGACTTCTTGCCACTGTAGCTGTGGGCTCCCCCTCTCCACCTGCTTTCCTGCTCAGGTTGGGGCAGCCAAAGACTTTCTCTTCCTGGGGAGAGAGTTTAGGGAGGGACCATTTTTTGATTATTTGAGGGTGTGGTTCAGTTGTAAACAGTATAAGTTTTAGAATTTGTGTTATTGTGATGGCAATGACCAACTGCAAAATATTTCCCATTTGCCTTGTCATAAGAGCACGTATTTTATGCAATTGAAGTTTTTGGATCCTACTTATTTACTTTACTTTATTAAGAATAGTGACATTTGAGCAGAGTTCTAATTTTGCATCAGAGTCAAAAGTGAAAATGAAAGGAACTGACCCATGAAGGAACAGGTGTGAGCTATTTACTTCATTCCTGCCCGTCCTGGTTGATGTTGAGCTCTTGCCCTGCATCCCACTTTCAAATGTGGTAGAGGCCTCACCTAGGAAAGACCCTCTCCACGCTGGCTTGCTCTGCTCACCCAACTGTACTTACTTCTCTGAATCCCCTATGAACACTGTTTTCTAGGTTGAGTGTGTTTTCTGTAATAAAAAGGTATTGTTGCACCACTTACTGAGGACTTTTTGGATGCCATGCTAAGCATTTCATAGTCACGAGCTCATTGTACAAACTACCCTTTATAACACTCCTATGAATTTATATTCCCATATGAATTGGCCTGAGGAAGTGGCGTGCTGGAGAGATTAAGTAATTGAATGACAGCATACAGTTAATTACTGAGGGGATTTGGGTTTGGACCTGGATCTGTGATTCAAACACTCATGTCTATAACCACAAGTGCTGCCACATCATTTGCATCAGGATTTAGAATCCCTGCTGGCAGGCCTGGGAAGATGCATTGTAACCAGATAAGAGATAATTACCACATTTACTGAGTTGTGAGAACCACTGTACTGCCTCTGAGAGAATGCCAGGCGCCCCTGTGTTTGTCTCAGTGTCTCCAGCTTGAATTGCTTCACCCCTGGCTCTCGGCAATGCTGCTCCTCTCTCCTGCATGGATCACCTGCTCCTGGAATTCATTCTCCCATTTCTTAGGTTGCCACTTTACTGTAGCTTCCTAATCGAAGGTAAAGCTTTGATGCTGTGCATGTCCCAAAATGCCTGAGCACTATTCTCACACTGGGTTGGCGGCTTAGTAGGGTTTAAAATATATGTATTTCTCTCAGAATGTGAAGGCCAAATTTCATTTTCTTATTATATCTAAAATTTCAATGAAAAACTTCAGTGCCATTTTGGTTCTTGATTCTTTGCAGGTGATCTTTTTCTTTCACTTCTCTGGAAGCTTTTCAGATCTTTTTCTCTGATGTTATCAAATTTCACAATAATGTGCTTTAGTGTAGAAGAACTTTGAAATTCATTTTGAAGGGAACTCAATAGATCTTTTAAATCTGAAAATTCTTAAACTTTATTTCTGGAAAATGTTCTTGATTTTTAAGTTGAGGTATAATTCACATACTACATTTTATTCATTTGAAGTGTACAATTTAGCACTTTCTGGAAGTATCACAAACTTCACCACTATTTAATTCTAACATATTTTCAGCACCCAAGAAAGAAATACTGTATTTTCCATTTTTTCCTCCTCCAACCTCTGGCAACCATTCCTTTTTGAGGCTGAGTAATAGTCCATTGTATGAATATACTTCATATTATTTATCCGCTCATCAGTTGGTGGACATTTCGGTTGTTTCTACCTTTTGGCTATTATGGATAATGCTGCTATGGACATCTGTGTCCCAGTTTTTGTGTGGACATGTTTTTAATCCTCTTCAGTATGAAGACTTCAGTAGAATTGATGGGTCAAAGAGTAATTCTATGTCTTACTTTTTGAGGAACTGCCAGACTGTTTTCCAAAGCAGCTGTACCATTTAAATCCCATTGATTTCTTTTCTGACATTTTTATTCCTTCAGTCTGCTTTTATTTTTTTCTTTTTGTGAAATTCTATTTTAAACTCTGAAGATGAATCAGGAAAATCAACACAGCTTCTTCAAGAAATAAATTACAAGAAAATGATATATAGGAGATATAGGGGAAATGTATAAATTATATAGACTAAAAAACACATCAGCTAATCACAATGTATGAATTTTATTTGGGAATATAGACAGAACAGAATTGGCCATGTGTTTCCGGTTGTTCTGAAGGGTTATAGACATATAGGAGTTTGTTAAATTCATTGTTTATTTACACAAATGTTTAAAATTATCCATATAAGGGTTTTAAAAATTCCATTGGATGCCTTATGTTTTAAAATGTACTCAGAATTTTTTTTTTTTTTTTTGGAGACGGAGTCTTGCTGTGTCACCCAGGCTGGAGTGCGGTGGCACAATCTCGGCTCTCTGCAAGCTCCGCCTCCCGGGTTCACGCCATTCTCCTGCCTCTACAGGCGCCTGCCACCACGCCCGGCTAATTTTTTGTATTTTTTAGTAGAGACGGGGTTTCACCGTGTTAGCCAGGATGGTCTCGATCTCCCAACCTCGTGATCCGCCCACCTCGGCCTCCCAAAGTGCTGGGATTACAGGTGTGAGCCACCACGCCCGGCCAAGCACAGTGCTTTAAAGTCATATGTGATGCTACATGGAGATAATGCAATGAGTATAAGACCTGCAGGAGCACATTTACCTCACCCACCAGAAGGTACAAATCAGAGGCTACTCACCCTGCAGGTTTGGGCAACCCCAACTCAGAACAGATCTAGGCCTCTGTCTTCATCACTTTTCTTAGATTATCACTAACTGATAATGGGCCTCATGTTATTATTTTTCAGAGGAAAGAGTGCAAAGGTTTACTCATGAGTAAATTTCAGTCAGGCATTCTCCTGTGAAATCATTTTCCAAGTAAAGAATGTGCACCCCATATGTAAGTGAAAAGATTTTGAAGCTAGATTAGACGACAACATTCAGGAACCTGTGTTGTCTGTAGGGAGCTTCCTGAATTTAGAGTTAGGCCTGAAGACCTGCCGGTGAGACCTTGTAGACTATGTTGGTGGGGCCCATGACACAGACCATGGGGAGATATGCCATCCCTTCTGCAGACCCCTGGGAGCAGCCTCTGCAGTTAGAAGGTTCCAGATGCAGGCTCTGGGGCCTCAGGCTCAAAAGGAGCCATGGGCTGCTTCCTGTTGCCTTGCCTTTTGCTGGGTCTGGTGCCAGGAAAGGTGAGACTGAAAGGAAGATGCCATCTCAAGAACAACAGCTGGGCCGGGCGCAGTGGCTCACACCTGTAATCCCAGCACTTTGGGAGACCGAGGCAGGCAGATCACGAGATCAAGAAATCGAGACCATCCTGGCTAACATGGTGAAACCCCGTCTCTATTAAAAAAATACAAAAAAATTACCTGGGTGTGGTGGCGGGCGCCTGTAGTCCCAGCTACTGGGGAAGCTGAGGCAGGAGAAAGGTGTGAACCTGGGAGGCGGAGCTTGCAGTGAGCTGAGATCGTGCCACTGTACTCCAGCCTGGGCGACAGAGCAAGACTTCATCTCAAAAAAAAAAAAAAAAAAAAAAGAGAATGACAGCCGTAGGGATCGAAGGTTGGCACCTGCAAACACAGTGAGGCTGGGGGCACCCTGTGCTCTAAGAATGGCTGTGTTCTTCTGGGTGACCAGCCATCCCAAGTTGCTGTAACAGTCATGGGCAAACCAGAGCAGGTGGTTGTTCTGTTATTTACAACCATCTACCAACAGAAATTTAACCAAATCAGAATGCCCATCGGTTCCATTATACCCAGTACTATACTTGTATTTGTGAATATCAGTGCCTCAGCCCCACGCAAGTCAAATGGAGACCTTATTGCCTGTATCCAACTCAGTAAAGTAGCAAATATAGAAAAAGTGCTGAGAGTCCTTGAAATCCCACTCCCACACAGACCCTGTTTGTATACAGTCGGTTATCTCCATGAAAGTGGGAGGCACTAACCCCACAGTCTTGGCTGGAGAACAGATTAAGGAATAATGAATAATAGGGTCACTTGCACTCCTTGATGTCTTCAGGCCACTTATTACCTGGTTTTCAACCTTCACACGTCCTCCTCAGGGAAGTCATAGTCCTCTGGATGACCACTGCCAATTGTGTTTATTGTTGCTTAATTATTTTACCTGCTTTTATTTATTTATTTTTTGACAGAGTCTTGCTGTGTCACCCAGGCTGGAATGCCGTGGCACAATCTCGGCTCAACCTCCACCTCCTGGGTTCAAGTGATTCTTCTGTCTCAGCCTCCTGAGTAGCTGGGACTACAGGTACGTGCCACCACACCCGGCTAATTTTTGTATTTTCAGTACAGACGGGGTTTTGCCATATTGGCCAGGCTGGTCTTGAACTCCAGACCTCGTGATCCACCCGCCTCAGCCTCCCAAAGTGCTGGGATTCCAGGCTTGAGCCACCGCGCCCAGCGACCTGCCTCTTATTAATTACTTGTATCTAGTCTAGGCTTGTCACAGGCCTGTTCAAAGTGGGTGATTTGCAATAGCCTGAGCGTGGCTTTCCTGATTAAAGAGAAATAATTTTCTAATGCTAATAGAGCATGCAAAAAGCTGGAGTTACAGAAAACCCCTGGCACTGGGACCAGGAGTGCTAAAAGCATGGGAAGAGAACGTTGGGTGGAGAGATACAGCTTATTTTCACTAATGTGGTGATTTCACTTAGGGGTGTGGTGGCTTTTACGGCCTTTCACAGAGTAATGAAGAGCCATCTCATTTCTGGGTGTTTATCCACAAAAAAATGAAATCGGGACCCCAAAGAAATAGCTGCATTCCCATGTTTATTGCTGCATTACTCACAATAACCAAGATATGGAATCTACCCGTGTCCATCAATGAATGAACTGATAAAGACAATGTAGTATGTGTGTGTATATATATATGAAGGTAATATATATACAGATAAAGTAGGTGGTTAGGAGTACGCATTCTGGATTGGTAGTTTAATTGCCTGGCCCTGGAAAAGGCAATCTTTTCCCAGTAAACCCCAGATGCTAGAGCATGAAGAAAACAGAAAATAAGAAAGTATAATTAATGCATTCTGTGTGCACTGATGGAGTCTTCCTTTGCTTCCCCAAAGGAAGAGTGCACAGGAGCCTGGCACTCCTGGACCTGAGGAAACCCTGAAACTGTTGGTATTTGCAGATCCTCTCCAAAAAGAGTTCACCGATCTCCTAAGACTGCAAACCTGACCCCAGCATGCTGGGAGCCAAGAGGGTCTGCGGATCTCCCTGCTTAGCAAATTGTGTGTATATATATACACACACACACAATGAAATACTATTCAGCCTGAAAAGAAGAAAATCCTGCCACTTATGGCAACAGGGATGAATTTGAAGGACATTATGTTAAGTAAAATAAACCAGACACAGAAAGACAAATACTGCATAATCTCACTTGTATGTGGAATCTAGAAAAGTCAGACTCATAAAAACAGAGTGTAGAGTGCTGGTTACCATTCTATACCATATATATATCCTATTGGTTCTGACTCTCCGGAGAACCCTAAAACATATGGCAACTTGAAAATATAAACTGATTCACAAATTATTTAAACAAACTAGTGAATGGTATACATTGAATCGGCAGGGGGCTAATAAGGTTAGAATAATAATTACCACCATGGATTGAGTGCCTCCTTTGTGCTCAGTGCTTTTAAATACGTCTCCATCCTCCACTTTGGGAGGCCAAGGTGGGTGGATCACCTGAGGTCAGGAGTTCAAGAACAGCCTGGCCAAAATAGTAAAACCCTGTCTCTACTAAAAATACAAAAATTAGCTGGGTGTGGTGGCAGGCGCCTGTAATCTCAGCTACTTGGGAGGCTGAGACAGGAGAATCGCTTGAACCCGGGAGGCAGAGTTTGTGGTGAGCTGAGATCACGCCACTGCACTCCAGCCTGGGAGACAAGAGCAAAACTCAGTCTCAAAAACAGAAAAAAAGAAAGAGTGGAAGCCAGTAAGGTAAACCAACAACACAGGGGTTTAGCCAAATAAAGTCCTTAAAAGCCAAAACTACACATGCATCACTACCACTTACCCAGGCAATTAACTCTTATCCTATGGCACTATTATAAAAAACCCCAAATCAGATGGCAAGTCATGTGACTTAGTTGGTGCCACCTGGAGCAAAGGTCTAGGATGAACTGCCAGGTTTGCACCAGACAGGGTGAAGTCTTAGAAAAGAATCTGTGTAACAGGGTTGGTCTGAGACTGCAGGAGCCAGGAGAGTTTCTAGGTAATGCAGACCCTTTTTGTTTCTCAAAAACAACTTCAGTCAGTCAGTATCGACAAGAAAAGGACAACTAGTATATCCAAGATATCTTACCTGTCCTATTTGTTGGCATCACTGCCTAGAAGGGAACTCCTGATCTGGAAGCTCGTTCTCAAGGTGCCACGTAAATTGATAGCAGCAGCTACTCAGTGCTGTGTTCACCGAAGTTAACAGATCTGAGGCTTCTAAGACCTTACTTGGTATTATCTAAATGTATTACTCTGTTCTTACACTGCTGCAAAGACCTGAGACCGGGTAATTCATAAACAAAAGAGGTTTAATTAGCTAATGGTTCCACACGCTGCAGAGGAAACACAGCTGGGGCAGGAGGCAGGGCGGCTCTGGAAACTTACAATCACGGCAGAAGGTGAAGGGGAAGCTGGCATATCCAACATGGCTGGAGCAGGAGGAACAGAGCGAAGGGGAGGGGCTAAACACTTTTAAATAACTCACACACTATCACGAGAACAGCAAGGGGAAGTCCACCCCCATGATCCAATCACTTCTCACCAGGCTGGCCCCTCCTCCAACACTGGGGATTACAATTCAATATGACATTTGGGTGGGGGTCAGGTGTGGTGGCCCACAGCTGTAATCCCAGCACTCCCTCAAGTGAGGCAGGTGGATCACTTGAGCCCAAGAGTTCGAGACCAGCCTGGCCAACATGGCAAAACCCCATCTCTATTAAACTACAAAAATTAGCTAGATGTGGTGGCACACACATGTAGTCCCAGCTACTCAGGAGGCTGAGGCACGAGACTCCCTTGAATCTGAAAGGCAGAGACTGCAGTGAGCCAAGATCACACCACGGCACAGCAACCTGGGTGACACAGCAAGGATCGGTCTCAAAATAAAAAACAAAAATAAAAAGAGAGAGATTTGAGTGTGGACACAGAGCCAAACCATATTACTAAATATTGTTAAGCTATCCCAACGGGCATATTAATAGGGAAGCCAGCGGGTGGGGAACTAGGACAAAACTGTTCCTTGTTAAAAAAATGTCTGGGAATAGCTAAAATAAACCCAGTACAGCATCTCAATCCTGGCTACACATCAGAATGCTTTGAGATTAAATGCCTCACACTGTTTAGAGGCAGGCAGGATAGGCAACCACTGGAATTAAAAAACCTTTCATATGAAAGGATGAGGTTTTTGACACAGAGTCCTCCCTATACACGCATTCCCCTAACTTACTTGACCACAGAACTTGGAGAAAACACAGCTAAGAAAATGCTGCTCCAGATAAGAAAACTATGTTGAAAACATGGAAATAATGGATCTGTATATCATACAATGAAAACTACACAAAAGAAAACACACATGAAGATGTTGCTGACATGAAAACCTTTCTTTTTAATTTGGTTGATACACATTTGACAAAATATTTTAGAATAAAATAATCCATGAACAGGTACAAGGTATTTACAGTAACATAATTGAAAAACATAAAATCGATATATTTCTTTAACAGAAATGTCTATAAAATTTTCTACTGTGAATCTGGAAGACTTTCAGTTCCTACTTATCAACCTGGTCTTAAGCCCCAACAGGCGACATGTAAGGCCCAGGAGTAGGATATACAAACTCTAACACATTTGGCAATTAAGAATCATCTATTAGTGTGAGCTGGCAGGCGGTGGGTGGGGGGTGGGGATGGGGAGGGAAGAACCAGATCTTAGGGTAAGATACAGAATGGAAGACTCCACTGAAAACAACTATGGACAAGAAAGATCTAAAATCACACTTATCTTTCACTTGTCTCCTGTGGGAGAAGGCTGCAAACTATTTTAAAGACTTAGTCAATTTTTCCCATTAGCAGAAAATCAGCAACCCTGAGACTCCAACATTTCATGACATAAAAGCTAATAAACATCTAGAAGCTGATTAAGATTTATAAACTAATTTTACATCAGATAGAAAATAACTCTTATGATTTAAAAATACATGTAAGGAAACAAAATTTCTCAAATTTATTTTTCATGCCTAATTCTTAAACATTTCAACTAATATTTTCTATTGTCTGAAATTAGTTCCACACACAGATACACTTTAACTGAATGCTTTGAGTACAACTTGCTCTTGATTATTAAATGGAATGCCTACTTCCTTGTATTATTATTCATACATATTTAAAAGAAATGAGAAGTTTAATCCATCTGGACTATACAGAAATTTATTGACTTACAAGATAGTCACATAGACAGAGACCAGAAAAAAATGATCAAATGCTCATTCTTAGTAACACAACTGAGACAGTGAAACACGGTACACCATACATGTCATCTACTGATCCAACTATGCTATCTGATAAGCTATACTTACAAAGAATGGTTCCAACAAACACCTTTGTAGAACAAATATTCACACTGTGTTATCAAATTTGCTGCTCCTCCAGTGGCGGTTCAAGAGCTTCCATTAGCTTTTTATTTGCCTCTTCATTATGCCGGCTTTGACAATGAGTTAAATGTTTCTTAAAACCTCTTGGGAAATTTGATTCAAAATTACAACGTGGACATTTAAGTAAACTTTGCCCATGGGCTGCTACATGATTTTTAAGGAGAGATTCCAAAAGAAAAGCCTTTCCACAGATTGTGCATTTGTAAGGGCTATGAACATTATGCTTATTAACCAAATGATGCAAAACAGCACCTTTTTTCATAGCACGACAGCAACAAATTTTGCAATAATACTTTCCTTTTCCACGCTTCATGTATTTTGCAATCTCCTCTTCAGAGATAAAAGCTTCTTTTTCTTCAGTAAACTGTAGCACATTTCTAGACTGCTCTGGACTAGTCATGTCCATTTTGTTCTCTTTGCTAAAATCAATGGATTCCACATCAACCTGCTCTTGATCACTGCTTGATTCCTGGCCCTTAATATCCATCGCATCCAAATCTGTTTTTATGTACTCACTACTACTAAGCTCAGCGTCTGAGCTCTCTTGGTTGTCTTTCTTGAGCTTCTTTGAGGAAGGAAATAAAGTATCTTCTAAGAGTTTCTTAGGTGAAGCTAGAAGTTCTTCCTGAACCAAAATATCACATTTTTGATCATCTATGGCATCTATTTGTAGTTCATCACCAAGCTCAACAGCCTTCTGTGATTCTGAGAATAGAGCAGATTTGGGGAGTTCAGGGAAAAGGGCATGCTTCCGGGGCTCTGGAAAAAGGGCACGTTTGCGTGCTTCTGGAGAAGCAGGAGGGGCTGTTTTGGCAGGCTCGGGAAACAGGGCAGGTTTTCTAGGCTCAGTATCGATAGAGAGAACAGGCTTCCAGATATCTGAGGCTGCTTTGGGGGACTCAGATGGCCCAGAAGGACCTGGTTTTCGGGTCTCAGGGAAGACAGGTTTCTGAGGCTCAATAAAAAAGGAAGACTTCCAGAGATCAGGAGAACCACCACGGGAACTTTTCTGGGACTCAGGGAAATCAAGTGAAGCAGGAGAAGTTTTCCGCTGATCAGGAGAAAGCTTCCAAAGATCTGGTGACCCTGAGGGTTTTCTGAGCTCTGGAGATCCTGCTGGACTACGGATCTCTGGGGATAGTGGTGGGCCGGGTTTGCGAAGCTCTGGAGACACTGGGGGAACTGCCTTCCAATGTTCAGGAGACAACGTGGGAGCTGTCTTTCGGAGTTCTGGTGGGCCAGACTTCCATGACTCAGGAGATGCAGGGGGAGACTTCCAGGAGCTGGGTGAGACTGATGAAGATTTCCAGGATGCAGAAGACACAGATGGAGTTGGTTTCCAAGGTCCAGGAGATACAGAAGGAATTGGTTTCCAAGGTCCAGGAGACACAGATGGAGCAGGTTTAGCTGGCTTCCAAGGTCCTGATGATGCTGAAGGATTGGATTTCCAAGGCCTAGGGGACCCAGGTGGCCCTGGTTTCCAAGAGCCTGGTGACACAGCGGGGGCTGGTCTCCTAGGCTCTGGGGAGACAGCAGGGAACGGCTTCCAAGGTTCAGGAGACTCTGAAGGGGATGGCTTCCTTGGCTCAGGGGAG
Source organism: Homo sapiens (assembly GCF_000001405.40). Lineage (NCBI taxonomy): Eukaryota > Metazoa > Chordata > Mammalia > Primates > Hominidae > Homo > Homo sapiens. Next base: position 114,324,663 of record NC_000013.11, on the reverse strand, counting down.
GTAGTCCGGGCTGACTTCCGAGATTCTGGAGATGCAGCTGGGGATGGTCCCCAAGGTTCTGGGGAAGCAGCTAGAACTGGTGACTCTGGAGATGAGGCTGAAGGTGGCCCCAATGTTTCCGGGAAATGAGACTGCTTCTGGGGTTTGGGATTACTAAGAGTAGCCTTTACTGACTCAGGAGATACAGGGGCAGGTTTCTGTGGTTCTGGAGAAGGAACAGGGGCAAGTTTCTGAGACTCACAAACAGGGACTGATTTTGGAGGTTCAGGAGAAGAAACAGAGGCAGGTTTTGAAGGCTCAGGAGAAGGAAGAGGTGTCTGTAGCTCAGGAGAAACAACAGAGCCAGGTTTCTGAGGCTCCAGGGGAGTAAGAGGAGTAGGTTTTGGCGATTCTGGAGACAAAACTGAACCAAGTTTCTGTGTTTCCATTGAAAGGGCAGGTATGGATTTTGGTTCTGCTGAATTGCAGGGTATTTTCTGGTGTTCAGGAAGAGGAGGGCTTTTCACAGGATCTGTTTCTTTGTTCAACTGATTTTTTGGTTTATCATTCCATTTGTCTGGGGATGCATGTTTGGATGTGATGTGATAGTATACATTAGAGTACATCTTGCTGGTGAAGAAGCATTTATGGCAGTGAAATAACTTTGCACTTTTCTGGTAAAATATCATTTTGCCTAGCCCACCAGCATCCATTTCATCACAAAATTCTGGATGGATGGTACCCATATGGATTTGTACATTTTCATAGTCTGTGCCTCTGAAACTGCAATGGTCACACTCCAAACGTGCTGATGGTTTACGAAGTTCCTGGAATGCTTCCATTCTTCTGTCTGTTACCAACACACACGGTTATATTCTTTAAAAACTTTCAATACTGCTGCAATAAAGTAGGAATAAATTATTTTCATGAACTGTAATTCTGAATAAAATGCTGTCAGTCCATTCTATAACTGCATAATTTTAAGTCTAGAACAGTGCGTGCTTTATTTGATAGTATCTCTAGGGAGAATTTGAAGAAAAAGGAGATATAGAACAGTCCCAGGCACTCTGCTAGGAGTTTCACATACATCATCTCATTTAATCCTAATGATATGACTCAACTATTATTTTCACTTACAGATGAAGAAACAGGTTCAGAGAAGTTACCTGACTTTCTCTGGTCCAGGCTATAGGACTATCAGTGATGTGAGCCTGACTCTAGAATTAGCTATTGCATGTGCTTTATACTTTGACTCTCAAACTCCGAGTACAAAAGTCCTCAGCACACAAAGATGAGTGAATATCAAAATTAAATCTTGGCTATTTAAGGATGAACAAGAGACTAAAACTTTTGCAGAAAGCACTTAATAAATTAAATCTAGCTATAAAAAGATGACTTTAAAACATGATGCTGGCTTGATTTCATGTCAACATATTTTGTAATGTTTAATCTATCCCAATATAGTATTCTATTAATTCATTTAATAAATAAATAACTTTGTGTCCTACAATGTTCTAGGCACTTAGGCTTAAAGCAGTGCTTTGCAATATGGCGTTCATGAGTTGGAAAGATAAGGTGGAGAGTGATGTAGAGGCCGTTGGAAAAGACCTCTATGCATGGGACATTCCAGCAGAGATCCTGAATGATGTGAAGGCGCATACCAACCAAAGGGCAAATCAGAGGACACCCCAGCAGCTGGAACACAGTTGCCGGAAAACATGAATTTAAAAAAATTGTAAACCAGTCTTCTTAAGTAGTAAAGGGAATAGAAGCTCACAGTTAAAAACACATTCACACAGTACGAGATACAGAGTGTCAGTCCCTAGGGGTAGCCAGTGTACTCATGTGTCCTGGAAGAAATGTCCTAAGCATATATTGATCAACACACATGCTTTACACAAATGGGATATTAAACATATTATCTGGCAACTTACTCTCATTTAGAATTTATCTCTAAGACATTTTTACATATGGAATAAGCACTGACTTTCCCTGTACTTATCTGTGCATGTGAGGGTATTTCTGCAGGGAAAATTCCTAGCAATGGATTACTTGGCCATTTGTGTGTAAAATTGATACATTTTACCAAACTCTCAAAAACTTCTATTACTGCATAACAACGTGTATATATGAGAGACAATTTCCTATAAATTCCTAATCCTTGCTACAACCTAGGTGAAAGCTAGTATTTCACTATTGTGTTAATGTGCTTCTCTTTAATGAGAAAGACTGAACACCTTCCCTTATTGACGGTAATGATATTTACTCCTCCTCAAAGAACAGTACAGATTAGAAATGCAGGCTCTCCCTTTATTAATTACAAAACCATTATTTTAAAAAAATGTATAGGCTGGGCGCAGTGGCTCATGCCTGTAATCTCAGCACTTTGGGAGGCCGGGCAGGCAGATCACGAGGTCGGGAGATCAAGACCATCATGGCCAACATGGTGAAACCCCATCTCTACTAAAAATACAAAAATTAGCCAGGCGTGGTGGCGTGTGCCTGTAGTCCCAGCTACTTGGGAGGCTGAGGCAGGCCAATCGCTTGGACCAGAAGTCGGAGGTTGCAGAGAGCTGAGATCATGCCGCTGCATTCCAGCCTGGTGACAGAGCAAGACTCCATCTCAAAAAAAAAAAAAAAAAAAAAAATTAACATTTCTAACTTTGATAATTTGTTTTTAAAGATGTTCTCACTGGCAATACTGCTTCCTAACACTTTTATCCAAGGTATATCATTTGCCTTTTTTATTTTTTGATCTAAAGCTAAAAAGGTGACAGATACTTGAGGAAACAAATACTTTTCTTCGGAAACTATTTACTCTTTCTGAGTTGCCCAGCAGTTATCCTGTATTTTAGAAAACTGTTTTGGGGCCAGGACTGTAACAAAAGAAAAATAAATAATTCCGTACTGATGAAAAATCTCTGAAAATGATCTTTAACTTACAAACGTAATTGAATGCATGGAAAAATAATGGGTTAACCATCCGTCTCAGAGCCCATTGTTAAATAAAACTAGAAGACTTTAGGGGAAAACGTAGGATATGTCTCAATAATCCCATGAGGCAATAATGAACAGCCCAACTGGCAATAATGAACAGCCAAGCTAATATTAAAGAGCACTATATTACATATTGTAATTACAACAGAGACTAAGAGCTCAGGTGTGCTGGGTTTGAGTCTGACTCACCTACCATTCCCCATTCCTCCCAGCCATCCCTCCTCTTCCCGCTGCCTACCACCAGCTCTTCAGGCCAATCTCATACTTAAATCTACAAAGAATGCTACAGAATTCACTTCTCATATCCCAAATTATGTATATCTAGCACACAACACACATTATATCCATAAGGGCGTGTACACTTTTAGAGATTTTCCTCAAGAACTCCAGGTATTTTTTTTTAATTTTCTCCTCATAAAATATTCTCCTAAGCATGCTTTCCCTACTAGACTTACCTGCTGTCTTACTAGACACCTTAAAAGTGGTCTTCAAAAGGCAGGCATTCTACATGGCTTTTTGACTAAACCACAGCAAACAGCCTATAGTATATGAAGAAGAACAAAGATGAGAAGTTGAACCTGGAAAAAAAAAAAAAAAAAAAGAAAAGTAATCAAAACTATATCTGTGATCGTGTGTGCCCCCTGTAATGGAATTCTGTGTATTTCTCTCACCATCCTGCCCTAACAGTGAGAGGAGTCCAGTCCACTAAGCCTGCTTACTTTTTTTTTTTTTGAGACAGAGTCTTGCTCTGTCGCCCAGGCTGGAGTGCAGTGGCGCGATCTCGGCTCACTGCAAGCTCCGCCTCCAGGGTTCATGCCATTCTCCTGCCTCAGCCTCCTGAGTAGCTGGGACTACAGGCGCCCGCCACCACGCCCGGCTAGTTTTTTGTATTTTTAGTAGAGACGGGGTTTCACCGTGTTAGCCAGGATGGTCTCGATCTCCTGACCTCGTGATCCGCCCGCCTCGGCCTCCCAAAGTGCTGGGATTACAGGTGTGAGCCACCGCGCCCAGCCCGAACACTTACTTTTATGAAATGACACCAAAGACTACAGTAGATACCACTCCTGACACCATCCTTGTCTACTTTCTCTTTAATGATCCACTATGGAATTATGCCCGTGTGTGTAATCAAATCCTTCTCAAACCCACCACCTAACTTCACTTCTCTGATAAGCACTCAGAAGACTGCTGGTGTGACTACTGACTATAACAATGGCTGACTTTTGTCAATTATTGATATTACACAGCAGAGTGCCAAATTAACAGGCAGTGGAGGAAGGGACACCACAACAAAGAGGACCAAGAGGCACAAAAAGAAAGGACTCTGGGAGGAGCAGGATGGCAGTGTCCTGACCCCAAGGAAGAACACATGGACCTGCTTCAGTGATTGCTCTGCCCTCTTCTCTTCCTGCATGCATTTCAAAGATAAAGCATCATGGTGTGGGTGAGTCTGCTGACAGGAACAGAATGTGATAAACTGGCCATGCACAAGCTACACAACAGCTCATATTATGCTTCTGATTAGCTCCAGCACATTCATCTACCCCTTCTCTATCCCCTACCCCTATCACTGCTTTAATTCTGACATCTGAACTCCCTGCCACTAGTCTCCTTTTCTTCCAACCCATTCATCGTACAGCTACCAAACCTGTCTTCCAAACAGAAGCCTAATGTGATCTGCCTGTTCACATGTCCTCCAAGTCAACTAAGACACCTACAGTATACAATTTGAATATGGCATATAAAGCTCTTCACAGTCTGGCCCATGACCAGACTGCATTCTCAAAATACTGGCCCACATGTAACTCCCTGACTATTCCAGCGTCTGTGCATTTGTATAAACTATTTCCTCTCCTTTACACTCCCTGTCTTGCCACCCGGCCATCAGGCAAACTCCTTCATCCTTCAGGCAGGACAGCTTTTTAAGTCAGCTGTCTTTCTGTAAACACAGGGACCTGGTTCCAGGACTTCCCCCATATGCCAAAATCCACACATACTCAGGTCCTACAGTCAGCCTTGTGGAATTCCCATATATGAAACATCTGCCCTCCATATAAATGTTTCACATTCTGTAAACGCTCTTTTTTATTGGCATTTGGTTGAAGTTCTAACCTCTGTTATTCATGAGTCAACTGTACTGGTCAATTCCCCACTTCTTCCCAATCTTCCTAGAAGCCCCAGCTGTACATGTCACCCTCTGGCACTACAGCCTGATACCAAAAACAGGATGCCAGCTCCTGGAGAGGAGGGACTATTATCCCTTTATTCACCTCTGGAACCGTTGCACATCCCTGACACACAGTATGTGCTCTGTTCAATCCTAACATTCTCTCAATCTTAGACTCACAGGATTTTAAAACTAGAGGAAACCTAAGTTACCATCTAGTCTCAAAGTCATAGGATTTGAGGGTAGGAAAAGACCTCAGGGATCATCTACTTTAAAACTTCAATTTATAGTTAAGGAAACTCAAGCTTGACATTAAACAGCTTGCCCAAATCAGACAAATGATCAGTATCTGATGAGAGAATAAAGTTCTGCTATCTGTCCAGGTTCTTTGTAGATATACACAAACTAATACAGTGGAATTTAGTAAGATCTTTTAAAGCCTGTACAATAGTCCAAAATAAACAAGATGAAACAAACACTTAGAATCCACATATCAAGTGCATAAATACAGGACTATAGAGAACTATATCCCATATTCTGCACTGGGCAGAGTACACTATTCCAGTGGATCACTGTCCCCAGCTCTGGGCAGGAAGGACACTTTAAGAGAGTCTCTAACAAACTAGGGAACATTAAAAAAAAAAAAAAAAAAAAAAAAAAAAAGGCAACCAGGATGGCAGATGGCCCTTTAAAAAAAAAAAAGTCATTTACAAATAAAGACATTTAACTTCAAAAGGGGAAGAATTATAGATAATATATGAGCTATCCTAGAAGTGACAATCAGAAGCTAGCAGGAAAAGAATTGTGGCTTAACACAGTTTACAATCTACTCTATCATGAACTAGAACGAGTTCCTTTGTCAGGTAGGAGTACTCCATAATTAGAATCTGATGATCAGGCCGGGTGTGGTGGCTCAGGCCTGTAATCCCAGCACTCTGGAAGGCTGAGGCAGGTGGATCCCTTGAGCTCAGGGGTTCAAGAACACCCTGGGCAACACGGCGAAACCCCGTCTCTACAAAACATACAAAAATTAGCCGGGTGCAGCAGAATGCACCTATAGTCCCAGCTACTCGGGAGCCTGAGGCAAGAGAAATCGCCTGAGCCTGAGAGGCAGGAGTTGCAGTGAACCAAGACTGCACCATTACACTCCAGCCTAGATGACAGAGTGAGACCCTGTCTCAAAAAAGAAAACCAAAAAAAAAAAAAAATGATGATCAGCATAGGACTAGAAGGATCTTCAGAGGTCTTGAGTTCAACCTCTTCATTTTATAACTGAAAAGACTGATGCTGAGGGAAAGAAGTGACCTGTCAAAGATCACAACACTGAGGTCAGAGGGAACAGTTTTTTTATTCTGGTTTTCTCAATTCTGGTCTCTGCTGTAACAAAATGCTGTCTTTCCCACAGTAGCAGAACGATCCACGAAGATGTTACAGAATTTAGTCCCAGAATTCAACTTTTAGGCAAAGCCTAGAGAGCTGGGCGTCCTTCCAGCTTTTAGGTTCTAGCAAAATTTCTTCCTAAATTTAAGAACTCCTAACCCTAACTAAAAATTAACTCAGAATTGTCCAGATTAACAAAAATTTCTTTTTGTCTTTGAGACAGATTACATCTCGTCTCTAAAAAACCTAAATTCTAATCATTGGTGCTCTGCCAGTCTATCACCCAGTATCCTTCAATGCAATGTTATGCCAGATGGTGTATCATACCTATTTCCCATCTCCCATTCAATTTCTTCTTTGAAGTCGAACACCACTGATCATCTTTTAAAACACATCTGATGCATAGTTTTTTAAATTAAAATTCAATAAGTAGAACATGTTCAAAGCTAAATGGGTTCTATTAGTCTATACACACTAGCATTGTTCTTTATCTTAGCGGACTTTTTTTCTTTTTTAGAGACAGGGTCTCGCTCTGTTGCCCAAGGTTTTGGTGCAGTGACGCCATCACAACTCACTGCAGCCTCATACTCCTGGGCTCCAGAGATCCCCCCGCCTCAGCCTCCTAAGTAGCTGGGACCATAGGTACCTGCCACCACATCTGGCTAATTTTTTTTTTCTGTAGCGATGAGGTCTCACTATGTTGTCCAGGCTGGTCCTGAACTCCTGGCCTCCAGAGATCTTGTTGCCTTGGCCTCTCAAAGTGCTGGGATTACAGGTGTGAGCTACCATGCCTGGCCTTTAAGAAATTAATAAACTGGGCGGGCGCAGTGGCTCACACCTGTAATCCCAACACTTTGGGAGGCCAAGGCAGGCGGATCATTTGAGGACAGGAGTTCGTGACCAGCCTGGCCAACAGCCAACATGGTGAAACCCTGTCTCTACTAAAAATACAAAAATTAGCTGGGCGTGGTGGTGCATACCTATAATCCCAGCTACCTGGGAGGCTGAGGCAGGAGAATCGCTTGAACCCGGGAGACGGAGGTTGCAGTGACCCAAGACTGAGCCACTGCACTCCAGCTGGGCAACAGAGTAAGACTCCATACTCACCCCCAACCCAAAAAAGAAAGAAATTAATAAACTAATTTTCCAAGTAGTTTTATGTTTGAAGAAAAACTGAAGGGAATGTACAAGAATTCCCACCTATCTTCTTGTCCCCAGTTTTTCCTACTACAGGCTGAGCATCCCTAATCTGAAAATCTGAAATCTGATTATGCTCCAACATCCAAAACTTTTTGAGTGCCAAAAGGAGCATTTTAGATTTCAGATTACGGATGTTTAACCAGTAAGTACAATGCAACTATTCCAAAATCCAAAAAAAAAAAAAAAAATCCAAAGCACTTCTGGTTCCAAGCATTTCGAATGAAGGATACTTCACCTGTATTAACATCTTGCATTAGTGTGAGATATCTGCTACAATGATAAGCTAATACTGATTTATTAAGTAGTCTATAGTTTACACAAGGAGTCATTTTTATTTATTTATTTTTTTTTGAGAGGGAGTCTCGCTCTGTCACCCAGGCTGGAGTGTAATGGCGCAATCTCGGCTCACTGCAATCTCCACCTCCCAGGTTCAAGCGATTCTCCTGCCTCAGCCTCCCCAGTAGCTGGGACTACAGGCGCGCGCCACCACAGGCTCACGCCTGTAATCCCAGCACTTTGGGAGGCCAAGGTGGGCGGATCACCTAAGGTTGAAAGTCAGAGAGCAGCCTAACCAACGTGGAGAAACCTCGTCTCTACTAAAAATACAAAATTAGCCGGGTGTGGTGGCAGGCGCCTGTAATCCCAGCTACTTGGGAGGCTGAGGCAGGAGAATCGCTTAAATCCGAGAGACGGAGGCTGCAGTGGGCCAAGATCGCATAACTGCACTCCAGCCCAGGCAACAAAAGTGAAACTCTGGCTCATTAAAAAACAAAAACAAAAATAAAAACAAAAAACTTGCCATTTAGGCCGGACATGGTGGTTCATGCCTGTAATTTCAGCACTTTGGAAGGCCGAGGCGGGTGGATCACCTGAGGTCAGGAGTTCGAAACCAGCCTGACCAACATGGAGAAACCCTATCTCTACTAAAAATACAAAATTAGCCAGGTGTGGTGGCAAGCGCCTGTAATGCCAGCTACTTGGGAGAATGAGGCAAAAGAATCCCTTGAACCCAGGGGGCGGAGGTTGCAGTGAGCCAAGGTCGGGCCATTGCACTCCAGCCTGGGCAACGAGAGCGAAACTCCCGTCTCAAAAAAAAAAAAAAAAACAAAACTTGCCATTTAATCATTTTTAAAAGCACAATTTAGTTAGTTTAGTACTAAAACGTTGTGCAAACATCACCACTATCCACTTCCAGAACTTCTTCACCACAAACAGAAATTCTGTACCCATGAAACAGTAACTTCCACTCTCCACTTTCAGTGCTGGTAATCTCAATTCTGTGCCTGAGGGGGAATCATACAGTATGTCTTTTTTGTGTCTTATTTCACTCAACATAATGTGTTCAATGTGCTCGTTTATACTGTATAATGTGTTCGTTTATATTGCAGCATGTATCAGAATTTCATTCCTTTCTAAAGATGAACAATGGTCCATTCATTATATGTATATACCACAGCTTGCCTTTCATCCACATGTTGATAGACATCTGGATTTTGAATAATGCTGCGATGAACATTTGTGAACAAGTATCTGAGTCTCTGCTGTCAATTTTTGGGGGTATAAACCTAGAACTGAGGAACGACTACCAATTTCCATAGCTGCTGCACCACCCTACTTTCCCACCAGCAATGCACCCGAGCTTCAATTTCTCCACATCCCCAACACTCATAATTTCCCTTTTTTTTAATAGCCACCCTAACAGGTGTGAGGTGGTATCTCATTGTGGTTTTCATCTGCATTTCCTTAATGGTTAGTGATGTTGAGCATCACTGCACGTGCTTATTGGCCATTTGTCTCTCTTCTCTGGAGAAATATCTATTCAAATTCCTTGCCCATTCTTGAACTGGGTTGCTTTTTGTTGGTCAGTTGCATCTCTTCTTGTATTCTAGACATTAACTCTTTATCAGGTTTACAAATGTCCTCTCCCACTTTGGAGGCTGTATAGCGGATTTTTAAACAGTAATAATGACAGAAGAGGAGGCAGTCTAGAACTAAAACAGAAAGAATGGCTTTCGTCTTGTGCCGCCCTCAACTTCCCAATGGTTTCAAACGCAATGTTTCCAGCCTCGGCAGCGACTGACACCGGGCCTCCCCGCTCCCTGCACAAAGACGCACTCCCGCCCCGGCCTGTGGGGGCGGGCCCTTCCCTCGGGCCGTGTGGGAAGCGAGGCAGCGCAGGCCCCCTTCACTCGGACCCGCGGCTTCCCGGGACCGTCCCCGCCAGGTCGGCGGCCGACACGGGGCTCGGGGATGCAGGCCCCAACCACGCCCCTCCCCCGCTCGCTCTCGCTCCTCACCGGTCCGGCCGCGGGCGGCGTCCAGTGGGCGATGGACCGCGCGGAGGGCCCGGCTCGCGGTCGCGGGCGGCTCCGCGAGGCCCTGCAGCGCAGCGGCCTCCCGAATGGCGACTGGATGCAGGAGCCGGGATCCGGGTGCGCGAGCGTGCGCGCTCCCGCGGGACGGGCGGGGGCTGACGGGAAGCAAGTTTGGCGCCGCGCGCCCTCCCGCGCGGGCCAATCAGATCGCCGATCGCGTGGCGCGGCTGTGCCAAAAGTGCGTGGGCAAAACTAGCGGCTCGCGCGGGCCTTCGGAAGGGCTGCGTGCCCGCCCCGCCCCGGAAGTGCCGCACGTGCCCACTCCGCCTCCGCTTCCCGCGCGCGCCCGGGCGCGGCTCCGGGAGGGTTCCGCCGCGTCTGGCCTGTGGCCTCCGGCCAGGCCCTTGGAACGGCCCCGGCCTGCCGCCGCCGTGCGGATATCTCTTCCTTTTCTTGCTGTTTTGATTGTTGTGTGAATGAATTTATTAGGAAAAAAAGAGCTAGACCTGCCCCATACATTCTCAGGGATATTACTGGCATAATACCTATGACAAAAGTACAAGACAAAGTTGTTGGATGACAGTAAATATTCCTTTTCTCATCACCCCGCCTCCACTGAAAGTCCCGATTCCCAGAAGTTATCTTCTTCGTTTTTTGTTTTCAGTTTTATGAATGTTACCACCACAATTCTAATTAAAATGCATGCACCTCTAATGCTGATGCCATCAGTCTGTATGCTTTGAAAGACTGTAAAATTAGCTCACACTGCTCTCTACCTTTGTACCCTTCTGAAGTTTTGCTTGTTGTGAATTTCATTTTTGTTTTTGTGGTGAAAATGAACTATAGAATGGCCGGGCGCGGTGGCTCACGCTTGTAATCCCAGCACTTTGAGAGGCCTAGGCAGGTGAATCATCTGAGGTCAGGAGTTCGAGACCAGCCTGTCCAACCTGGTGAAACCTTGTCTCTGCTAAAAATACAATATTAGCCAGGCGTGGTGGCGGGCGCGTGTAACCCCAGCTACTAGGGAGGCTGAGGCAGGAGAATCCCATAGAACCGGGGAGGCGGAGGTTACAGCGAGATCGCGCCACTGCACTCCAGCCTGGGGGAGAGAGTGAGACTCTGTCTCAAAAAAATAAAAATAAAATCCATAGAATTTACCGTCTTAACTATCTTTACGTGTACAGCTCAGTGGTGGTAAGTATATTCATAACACCACCATCCATCTCTGTACCTCTTTCATCTTGAAAAACAAACTATGCATTACATGTTAACTCTCGGTTCCCCTCTACCTTCTACTTTCTGGCAGTCACCATCTTACTTCCTGTGTCTCTGAGTCTGACTACTCATAAGAGTGGAATCATACAGTATTTGTCTTGTGACTGACTTATTTTACTTAGCAGAACATCCTCAAGGTTCATCCATGTTGTAGCACATTGTGGAATTTCCTTCCTTTTTAACACTGAATACTATCCCATTGTATGGATATGCCACATTTTGCTTATCCACTCACCTGTTGATGGACACTTGGCTTGCTTCCCTATTCAAGATATTGTGAATAATGCTTTGACATTTTCAAAGAACCAATTTTTGGTTTCATTGATTTTCTCTATCGTTTTCTATTTTCTATTTCATTTATCTTGGCTTTAATCTTTATTATTTCCTTCTTTTTGCCAGCTTTGGATTTAGTTTTTCTTTTTATAGTTCATTAAGTTGTAAAGTTAGGTTGTTAATTTGAGATTTTCTTGGTTTTTGATGTATTTATAGCTATAAACTCCCCCTTTAGCATTGCTTTTGCTGTATCACAAAAGTTGCTATATTGTGTTTACATTTTTTTCTTTTCTTTTCTTTTCTTTTTTTTTTTTTTTTTTTTTTGAGACAGAGTCTCGCTCTGTCGCCCAGGCTAGAGTGCAGTGGCGCCATCTCGGCTTACTGCAAGCTCCGCCTCCCGGGTTCATGCCATTCTCCTGCCTCAGTCTCCCGAGTAGCTGGGACTACAGGCTCCCGCCACCACGCCCGGCTAATTTTTTTGTATTTTTTTAGTAGAGACGGGGTTTCACCGTGTTAGCCAGGATGGTCTCGATCTCCTGACCTCGTGATCCGCCCGTCTCAGCCTCCCAAAGTGCTGGGATTACAGGCGTGAGCCACAGCGCCTGGCTCTACCTCCCTTTCATGCAAAATTTAGGATCCTGTGTTAATTTCCGGAATGATTCTGATTTCTAGGATTCAAATATCAATATTAAATATTTTAGGATTTTTCTAAGTTTTGTTTTTGCAGCAAAATTGATTCATTAAATTTAATAGATTTCTTTAAAAAGTATCCACCTAGTTACAAGCTTTTAAAAGAGCCAATGAAAACAGTTTGTAAACTGTAAATGTTAAATGCAGAAATGAGAGGATCTTTTATTTTCTCTGAATAGCAAAGATTTACTGATTGAGAACTTTTTGAGATCCTGACTCTTAATATGAAACAGGTTCGTTGTGGCTGCAGGACCTAATTTGAATGGCTGCTTCAGTTGTTTTTTCCTGAAGTGTCAGAATGAGTTGATGATCCCAAGAGACCTATTCCAATTGAACACTGAACAAAACTCTAGCAGAAGGCAACTCTTGGTGACGAAATAACAAAAACCAAAACACCCTCTGCTATTATTCTGAATTGAAATCATGTTAAAAAAGCTATTGTAGTTATAGAATATTAAATAGTTCAAGATGAATAATGCAAATAAACTCCCAATTTGGCCTTTTGAAAGGTTCCCAGTATATTGCACTAAACTTTAAAGTAACCAAAGAAAGCAGAAATAACTCTCATAAAATCCTGTACTAAAACCAGACCCTTATGGACTTTCAAAATTTCACTTAAGGATCTATTGAACATATACTTCTCAACAGTTTATTTTGATGTTTTCTCAACCTATACTATGTTCCAGGGACCAGACTTGAATCAGGGAATGGGTAGAGGCAGGTGAACTACAATTGCAGTAGAAAGTGGCAGCCTGACAGCCTTTGAGGAGCTGCAAACTCATTAGCTGAGATGGCACTGGACTTTGTCATTTGTCTTCTGTGTATAAAGAATAACAGTGCTGAGTATCTGCACATATTCAAAACCTACACAGAATCATGTTGTCAAATGAAGCAGCCAAAATCAGACTGGCTTTCTGTCAGAAAGTCAGACTTAATTTTTCCATTCAAATTGCTGCATTAATATGTATTACAAGGAACATAATAAAAATTAGAAATAAATTATTAAGTGCTTCCTGTAAGAGAAATAATAAAAGCAGTCCAGCTTATAATTTAGATCTAATATAATCAACTTAGCTACTTTATAATAAAAAAGGACAAATTATTCTGCTATTTCTACTTAATTTATAATAATGCAAAATAATGGGAACTAAAATAAGTTACTTAATGGGAAGTATGATAAAATGGAATTCCTCCTGAGTATCTAGCTCTGTTGCTGGGCTTTGGGGAATGTCAAAGTATAGTTCTCAAAAGTTAAACACATGACTCACACGAATATAAAGTGAACACATATCAGAGGATTTATTTTATTTTGTATTTTTTTTTGAGACGGAGTCTTGCTCTGTCGGCAGGCTGGAGTGCAGTGGTGCGATCTCTACTCACTGCAACCTCCACCTCCCGGGTTCAAGTGATTCTCCTGCCTCAGCCTCATGAGTAGCTGGGACTACAGGCACTTGCCACCACGCCCAGCTAATTTTTGTATTTTTGGTAGAGATAGGGTTTCACCATGTTGGCCAGGACGGTCTCAATCTCAGAGGATTTATTTAACTCATTCATGAGGGAATCCAGAGGAGGATGAAGCTAGTTCAGAAGGTTCATAAAGCTGAGTACGTGCAGCCACTAGAAAAAGTGGAGTCAAATGGCCAGTTAGAAACAAAAGTGGTTAGGATCCTACAGGGAAGCACAACTGCCACCTTTGAGGCCATGTTATAGAAATCACTCACATCTCTACTGGGCAAAAATCCGTAAGGAAACATGTGATGTCACAGTGTGGGCACAAATGTGGGTCAACTGTTAAATAATCGGAGCTTGTCAGACATGACACAGCCATGCAATCACTCTTTTTTGCCTTATTTCCGAGTTTTAGACATTTTTTTAAATAGGACTGAAAAATAAAAATCAAATATAAAAATTAGAATCAAGTCCATTAATATTTTCTTAATTTTTTTTTTTAACCATTCACTAGCCCCAGTTTTGGAGGGAGGAGAGGATGCCCAGGCCCCAGAAGCCTTTGCTGGTGGGCATGGGGCTCTTCCTTTCCTCTCAGGCAGAGCAGCAGACTTTGCTGAAGGGCAGTCTAGGTCCACACAGCTGCCAGGGGTGGCAGATGGGCACTGACTGCTGCATTGCAGGCACTCAATCAATGCTAGTTGAGCGCCAGTGAGCGAGTGAAAGGCAACTGGGAGCCTGGTGCTGGCCGGCAGAGCAGCTAAGTTCTCATATGGCCAGTTTACCGTGTAAGTGCAAAGCCAGCCTCAATCAATCCTGCTACACTCTTCATGAAAAGAGCAGCAGAGGGCACTTTGTTTCAAGCAGGCTGCCCAAGAACTATGGTCACCTGCTCTGCTGGTTGAAGAAAAAAAAAAGCAGGAGTGGTGAGCATAGAAACCAGCCTGGCCCTGGATACTGCTTGTGGTTGCAGAACTGCAGAGAGAGCCCATGGTCTCTCCTGCCCCGCATTGTGTACCAGGTGTGCAGCCAGGCTCCCTCTCCGAGCAAGGACTTCTACCACCTGCCATCACTAAAGCTGAGGTAAGGCACTGGCAACACTAGAGACCTACAGCTTTAATGCTGGTTGAAAACATACTTTCTCCTGTTCTGGGAATGGCAGGCACAGTCGCTGAGAGCTTTGGCTGTGAAGTCAGACCAACCTATGTTAGAATTTGCCTCTGTAACTTACTGTGTGCGCGTGCACATGCTTGAATGTGAACTTGGGCAAGGCTACTTTCTCATATGTTTGCATGCAGTGGAACGATAGTACCCACCTTATAAGCTTGTTTTGGCATAAGACAGCATGAAGTGTTCAGAGCACTTAGTGCTAGCACACTGAACAGAATCAATGTTAGATGCCATTATTTTATACTGATTTAATTACAGTAACAAGAACTCTGACCATTAATAGAGAATACTTACTTCATAGGATGAGTATCAGGACCCAATAAGAATAAAAGATTTGAGAGACAGTTTGGGGAAACAGGTAAGGGGATGGGCTTAAAGTATGATTTTCAGAAAGGCAAAAACATGCACTTGAGAGGCTGAGGTGGGAGGACTGCTTGAGGCCAGGAGTTTGCGGCTGCAGTGCACTGTGATCACACCCGTAAATTGTCAATGGCCTCCAGCCTGGGCAACACAGCAAGACCCCAGCTCCATAAACATGACTCAGACACAGAATGAACAAGGAACATATATCAAAGTTTAAGCAATTTGCTAATGGGGCTGTTTCCAAAATACATCCTATAAAACCTAAGGGTAAGTTTTTATGTGGTTTCATCCTAATAAAGTGTGCAGTAATCATTAAGATAGTTAAAACCTGTTTCTACCAAATGTTTCCCAGTTGCAGTCATTCTTTATCCAATTAAATATTTTATTTCTGGCCAGGCACAGTGGCTCACGCCTGTTAATCCCAGCACTTTGGGAGGCCAAGGTGGGTGTTATCACCTAAGGTCAGGAGTTCAAGACCAGCCTGGCCAACATGGGGAAACCCCGTCTCTACTAAAAATACAAAAAATTTAGCCAGGCGTGGTGGCGCACGCCTGTAGTCCCAGCTGCTCAGGAGGCTGAGGCGGGAGGATCATTCGAACCTGGGAGGTGGAGGTTGCAGTGAGCCGAGACTGTGCCACTGCACTCCAGCCTGGGCAACAGAGTAAGACCCTGTCTCAAAAAAAAAATTTTATTTCCACCTTCCATTAGTTAGAAAAGTTATAAACTAAATGATAAATGCAATTAGTTTTCAGCAGCATATACTTTAATGTTTTCTTAAATACATGTAAAACACTTGGTCATGTTGTAAAACAAAATTATAATTTAAAAAATCTTTTCAATATTCCCAAAAGCCCCATGCTAGAGTTTTACATATTCATACACATATTTACTGAAGAAATAGAACTCCCATTATCACACGGCTGGCCTCACCAATAACTCATACATGTAGCTAAACATTATATTGTATTATTTAAATTAGGTAATGAGAAAGACTATTTGCTCTATATAATTTTAATCTTGACTTTACTACATTTTCCAGAAATTGGATGAATTAAATCTGCAATCCAAGGCTTTGGCAAATATGCATTGAACACTTTATAAAAATATTGCACTGACAAAGATGTGCTGAAATCACTGCTAATCCCCCAAACCTTTCTGAATATGTCAGATTGAGCTCTTTCTCTCCAAGAGTGGAAAAGCAACAGGTGTAATTAATAGTTAGCTGGTAAGTCCTGGGAAACCTTTTATATTTACTTCTCAGAAACAGAGAAACTGGATGATTTTAGTGATTGAATAATAAATCCTTTTAAAAGTTAAGTGATTCCCAATCGTTAGCTTTCAATAAAATTGAAACAATTATGAGATGGTAGACCATTAGAAGTAATACTGATTATAGATAACTGAACATTTTGCAATATAACTTGAAAGAAAACAATTTTTTTTTGAGATGGAGTCTCACTATGTCACCCAGGCAGGTGTGCAGTGGCACAATCTCGGCTCATTGCAACCTCTGTCTCCCCGGTTTAAGTGATTCTCCTGCCTCAGCCTTCCCAGGAGCTGGGATTACAGGCGTGTACCACCATGCCCAGATAGTCTTTTTGTATTTTTAGTAGAGACAGGGTTTCACCATGTTGACCAGGCTGGTGTTGAACTCCTGACCTCAAGTGATTAGCCTGCCTCAGCCTCCCAAAGTGCTGGGATTACAGGCATGAGCCATCACGCCCGGCCAGAAATTAAAGAATTAAGTGGTGTTAACCTAACAAAACTCCTCTCTTCCTTTTTACTGTGTGAGCAAGATTTCTCAGTAGTTATATTAATAAAATTAAAAACTGGAGTAGAATTGTCCAACACTATCTTATTCTATTAGTAAAAGGTATTCAACTCATCCACTGATAGATAAACCAACTGGGAAAATACATCCCCATCCGAGATGAATTTTCTTTTTAATGCATTATTACTAGAAATTTTAAACATTCAAGGAAGAGAGGGTAATATAATGGACTCTCATCAGTTTTATCAGCTATCAATATTCTGCCTGAGAAACATAAAGAACTTCATAAATGCAAGGTACTGTTATTTAAGCAATCTAGAAATTCTTAATGATCACCGACTTTCCAGTGGGAATATGGCTTTATTTTACAGATAAGATATTCCCCTTGTGAAGAAGCATGGGCGTATGTGTTTTTAAAATCCAGTGTTTTTTGTTTGTTTTAAGTTTGGCGAAGTTTTAATGAGCAAGAGTAAGGGTTGAAGTGAGGAGGAATTATGCTGTTAGCTGGCTCTGGGAATCCCATGGTCACACAGAAACGGATTCCTTTGTCAACAGGAAGTCTGGTTATCACCCTCAATTGCAGGCACTCACTTTGGTCAGGGAGACATCTCTCCACACTTGCACCATCTTCACAGACTCAGGCGGGATTCGATGGTCAAAGCTCTAAAAGCATTGGCCATCGACCATTACCTGGTACTTACTGTCCAGCACCAAGATGCTCAGGTCAAATTCTTTGCCATTCTGAAAGGGCATATTTTTGGATTTCATCTCAGGCTTCCAGGCCCCATTCTCACGCTGTTCATGACCACACAACGGCCAAAGAACACTTGGAAATGGAAGGTGATGTCTGAGTCTTCATTCATCCTGGTGTGGAAATCCACCTGCAGCTGTGGTTCATTGATGAAACAAACAACTAGCCTCCCTTTGATGTCAAGTAGAACCAATAGACAAGAGCACAGTCTGTGTGTGTGGCACAAGTAGTTGTGACATTGTTGTCTCCCTCTGGGTGGCTCTTCTGAATTGTGTTTAGTATTCTTTTTTTTTTGAGACGGAGTCTTGCACTTTTGCCCAGGCTGGAGTGCAGTGACACGATCTTGGCTCACTGTAAGCTCCGCCTCCCAGGTTCATTCTCCTGCCTCAGCCTCCTGAGTAGCTGGGACTACAGGCGCCCGCCACCGCACCCGGCTAATTTTATTTTACTTTTTTATTTTTAGTAGAGACGGGGTTTCACCGTGTTAGCCAGGATAGTCTCGATCTCCTGACCTCGTGATCTGCCCTCCTCGACCTCCCAAAGTGCTGGTATTACAGGCGTGAACCACCATGCCTGGCCCTGAATTTTTTTTTTTTTTAAAGAGTGGGTGGGTGAGTTTGCTTGTCATAACCTAGTGTTTTGTCTTTCTCTCTTGCTCTGATAGGGCAGATGTAGACAGTGTTTGTTTAAGAAAAATTAGCCAGGTGTGGTGGCGCACACCTGCAATCCCAGCTACTCTGGAAGCTGAGGTAGGAGAATTGCTTGAACCCAGGAGGCGTGAGTTTCGGTGAGCTGAGATCACGCCACTGCACTCCAGCGTGGGTGACAGAGCGAGACTCCATCTCCAAGAAAAAAAAAAAAGATTTTCCAAGTCATTCTCTGTCCTTTTGAAAGTCTGTGTAATATTTACCAGTAAAATATTTTAAGGCCTTACCTTTTGGAATTTTTTGCACGTTTCTGACAGCTGCTCAGTGTCATCCAAACCAAGACAAGAGAAGATCTGTATGATTATGCTGTCAGGCATTTGAACTAACAAATCAGAATTTCCCTGACACAGATTCAAAGAATATTTCAGTACTTCTTTAACAAAATTTTTATTTAATAAATGGTTAAAATCGCAGTGCCAAAAATACATTGACATTTAGCAATTTCACTGAAAGGAAGAAACTACAGAATGCACGGTTTCAGAAAGCTATTTTAAGTTATTTACAAATAAAGTATCTAAAACTCAAAAACAGGCTCTGTATGCTATATCTAGTTTATCCCTTCCCGAACAAAATTTCTGTTATTTGGGCAAATTCTTAAACCATGGTTTAAACCGTAATGGTTACAAACCACAAACACATCCATCCAGAGACTGAAACCGTTTCTATCCGGTCAGTGGCAAAACTGTTGAAAGGGCAATAGTTGAAGCTGTTGGGTTTTATATAGTGTGAACTCTGATAAATATTCCTACCAGGACTAAAACACAGCACGCTTTGCGGGCATGGCTGACTCACAAAGGTTGTAACAAACAAGAACTACTCTTCACTCGACACCATGGCTCAGAGGCCACCGAGAAGCACGAGTGACTGACAGCTCCTCTGCTTACAAACGAATGAAACCCAAAGTGGATGTCGTTCTCACAGCACTGAAAGTGCTTCAGGACTCACACTGATCCAATACTAACTTTCTTCCCTATTTTACACATATTTTTCTACTGTCCAGTGGAAATCATTTTCTGTTTTGGCTAAACAACAAATACTAGTTTATAACAGGAATGGTAAAATCTGTGAGAATTCTGCTCAATTTAATACAAGATCACTACTTTCTTTAGAATGGTTTCTGCGTGTTTCTACGTCACCCTCTGTATTTTTAGCTTCCAGTTTCCTGGTAAGGAATAAGTTCTCCTTCCCAGTCACACTCGGGGTCATTTACACGTTTCTGGGATGCCCTTGCTCGTCCATGGAGGCCAGGTGCGTGCAGTGACTCACTCTGCCTCTTCCCTCTTCTCAGGACCAGTCCCCGAACCTTCTGCCTTGCAGATCCTCCTGTTTCCGCCACACTCTCGCGCTCGGAAGCGAGCTCCTGGATCATACAGCTGCAAGGCTGGCCGGTCCTGCCAGGATAAGAGGGCATGTTACTCTTCCAAGAGGTAGCAACACAGAAGGGTCAATATCTCCCTATATTTCTAGAACTTGATGATATGAATTGTCCAAAGAAAATCAACTAGGCAGCTAAAAATCAGCCCTTTTTTCACAGCACTATCTCAGAAACCAGGCATTCTAAGGCAATTAAAAAAGCCATGTAAACACTGGTTATCTGGGCAAATGTTATTGCTCAAACAAGAACATGTAATCTGTGGGAACAGTACAATCATGACGTCCCCCTCTGAGTTGGGAAGTGAACAAAATGAGATGTGGACCCTCACAGATGGTTTCAGATCTGCCAACTAAAACTTATTAACGTGAGTAGTAAGCAATTTCCATGGGGCTTATCCCTGCCTAGCATGTACCAGCAGGGAGACTGAACTGGTCCCTTTTTAGAAGACATCACCCCATCATTTTATTAAACTCCTGGAGGTGAAGCAATAAAAATGACCCATGAAGTCCATGAAGGGCAGCTGTTGAGGGCCTGAAGAAGGCAACAGCCAGGGAAGCATAGAGTGGCCCTGAAGGCTAGTGTCAGCAGCGACAGCAGCACAATTCCTCCTGATGGGGCCACCAGCCCTGCCCCAGCACTGAAGGGGTGGCAGAGGAGGAAGGCGGCTTCCAGCTTCCGTGAGCCTCCTGCTCCACGCGCCTCCCGCTCCCTGCCTATTCTCCCTGCAGAGCTGCAGCCTTAGCCTCCAACAGCCACCAGGAGCCCAAGTGTGGGCTGCAAGGACGACCATGTGGGTACATCTCATGCGCTCCTTCTCCAGGATTCACCAGCTCACCTCTACCTCCTCCTGGACTGTGTGTGGAAGCCCACATCTGCTTACCACCAGGGGGTTTAACTTAATTTTCTTTTCCTTGGTATGAACCTGACCAATGGGAGGGGTGGGAACAGGCTCAGCAGGCCCCTGGACAGGCTGCCTGGAGCCAGCACGCATAGCTCTGTTTGTTTTTCTTTTTTTTCTGAGACAAAGTTACACTCTTGTTGCCTAGGCTGGAGTGCAATGGCGCAATCTGGGCTCGCTGCAACCTCTGCCTCCTGGGTTCAAGTGATGCTTCTGCCTCAGCCTCCTGAGTAGCTGGGATTACAGGCATGTGTCACCATGCCCGCTTAATTTTTGTATTTTCCGTAGAGATGGGGTTTCACTATGTTGGCCAGGCTGGTCTCGAACTCCTGACCTCAGGTGTTCCACCCGCCTTGGCCTCCCAAAGTGCTGGCATTATAGGCATGAGCCACCGCACCGGGCCGACAATTCTGCTTCTTACCAGGGCAATACCTGTATACACAGATGGAGCATGGAGCCTGACCTTAGAAGTACATGACAAATGCCAGGCTCCCGGGAAAGTAGCTCCTGCACACAGCGCCTCATTCCCACCACAGCACTGTGAGGCTAAACACAGGAGCAAATGCTCCCCCACCTCAGGTCGGGGGAAACACCAGGCCATTCACCACTGCTAAAATAAGCCAACTGAAGACTGAGGACTCCTATGAGCAACGCCCTATCAAAAAGACGCATGGCTGTACTTTGTGCACCCCGAGGTCCAGGCAACCCCAGAGAACTGGAGTATTCTAGAGGTGTTCATTCAAGGGTGAAGACAAGAAGGCTCTCCTCTGGCTTTCAGCCTTGACTTCACTGAAACTTTTTTTTTTTAGAGGTAATTTTGCTTTTCTTGCCTAGGCTGGAGTGCAATGGCATCATCTTGGCTCACTGCAACCTCCGCCTCCCAGGTTCAAGCAATTCTCCTGCCTCAGCCTCCTGAGTAGCTGGGATTACAGGCGCGCCACCACGCCCAGCTATTTTTTGTATTTTTAGTAGAGACAGGGTTTCGCCATGTTGGCCAGGCTGGTCTCGAACTCCTGACCTCAGGTGATCCACCCGCCTCAGCCTCCCAAAGTGCTGGGATTATAGGTGTGAGCCACCATGCCCAGCTACACTGAAACAGTTTCAAAGTGAACATCGTTCATACACACAACAACCTGGAAGGATCTGAAAGGAATTAGACTGAGTGAAGAAAGCCACTCTCAAAGCTCACATACTGTGTGTTTCCATTTATCAAGCATTCTTGAAATGACAAAATCACAGAGGCAGAGAACAGACAGTGGCTGCCAGGGGTTAGACATGGGGAGGGAGGTGAGTGGGAACTGGAACCCTAGGCAGCCCTCAGTTTGCTAGGAGGCCAGGGTGGGGCCTGGTGCTGTCAGAAAGGTGATGCCATCTGTAGTGCTGCGCTGGGAAAATGCAACCTGAACAAAAATTAGCTCCTGAAAAAAAAAAGTTGTTTGCTTGGCTAAGGGGGTAACCACAGTCCTGTGCTCACCGTCCGTGCAGATCTAACTTACAGGTGTTTGTGAGCCATGGGAATATTCACCAATAATCAGAATGTTGTTAATAATGTGGAAGAAACCTCCATGAAATATCATTAAAACTTTCCTTCCTGTCTCAAGGGTAAATTTAATAATCTTATTCTCAAGTGAATCATATAAACGTGCTAGTTTTATACTAAATAAAATCTTTCTTTTTCCTGGTGAAAAATAATTTGATTATCTGAGAAAAGATGATGACTAGTCTCACTCTGGGATCTGACTTTCAGGAAAAACTGCTCTTGAAAATGCTCAAAGCACTGCGTTCCCCAAGACACAAGGCCAAGTGGGGGTGACATGGTCAGCATGCAGCCTGGACCTTAAGACAGCCAGACACATTTTTCTTTTTGGGTTTAATAAAAACCTTGTTTGCCAGTCGCTCTTTTCTGGGTGCTGGACTGTCGTCACACCTCTGCGCTCTTCCCAGTCTCTCCATGGCCTCCCCCGGAGCCCCGCTGTCCTGGCTCCCCTTCTTCCCTCTGTCTTGGCCAGGTCCTTTCCCCCATCTCTGCTCATCCTCACTCCTTCTGGAAAGCCGTTCAGGCTCGTGGTGAGCTCTGTGCCTCCTGCCGTCATCCACATGGTATCTTTGTGCTTCAGATTCTTGTTCTTGAGATCTCTCCACATCCCTGTGCTCTTTATCACTGCCGCTGTGTGACCTATGATTCAACACAAATGATCAGCAACTGCAGTAAACCGCCGGTTGGCTGCCCACCCTCCTTTCTAGACCACAGGTTCCCAGACAACAGGGACCCATGCGAAGTGCTCAGCGCTGCACTGCTGAGGCTGCACTGCGATGGGCACACAGCAGGCGTTGATAAAAACCACTACAAAGAGGAATAAATCATAGTAATAGTATCTGTCATTTCAGTTGAGTGACAGATAGGCAATATGCCTTATACTAAGGTACTTTTTTTTTTTTTTTCTGAGATGGAGTCTCGCTCTGTTGCCCAGGCTGGAGTAAAATGGCGGGATCTCAGCTCACTGAAAGCTCCGCCTCCTGGGTTCACACCATCCTCCTGCCTCAGCCTCCCGAGTAGCTGGGACTACAGGTGCCCGCGACCACGCCCGGCTAATTTTTTGTGTATTTTTAGTAGAGACGGGGTTTCACTGTGTTAGTTAGGATGGTCTCGATCTCCTGACCTTATGATATGCCCATCTTGGCCTCCCAAAGTGCTGGGATTACAGGTGTGAGCCACCGTGCCTGGCCATGCTAAGGTACTTTTTATACATATTTTCTAATTCTCAATAACCCTCCAAAGTAAATACCTTCTTTTGACCAGGCATGGTGTCTCACGCCTGTAAATCCCAGCACTTTGGGACGCCAAGGTGGGTGGGATCACCTGAGGCCAGGAGTTGGAGACCAGCCTGGTCAACATGGTGAAGCCCCCTCTCTACTGAAAATACAAAAATTAGCCAGGTGTGGTGGCATGTGCCTGTAATCCCAGCACTCTGGGACGCCAGGGGCAGGCAGATCATTTGAGGTCAGGAGATTGAGAGCAGCCTGGCCAACATGATGAAATCCTGTCTCTACTACAAATACAAAAATTAGGCCAGGCACAGCGGCTCACACCTGTAATCCCAGCACTTTGGGAGACCAAGGCAGGCAGATCTCCTAAAATCAGGAGTTCGAGACCAGCCTGACCAACATGGAGAAACCCTGTCTCTACTTAAAATACAAAATTAGCCAGGCATGGAGGGGCATGCCTGTAATTCCAGCTACTCAGGAGGCTGAGGCAGGAGAATTGCACGAACCCAGGAGGCAGAGGTTGTGGTGAGCTGAGATCGCACCATTGCACTCCAACCTGGGCAAGAGGAAAACTCCGTTTCAAAAAAACAAAAAAAAAACAAAAATTAGCCAGGCATGGTGGCGGGTGCCTGTAATCCCAGCTACTTGGGAGGCTGAAGCAGAATTGCTTAAACCTGGGAGGCGGAGGTTGCAGTGAGCCGAGATCGTGCCACTGCACTCCAGCCTGGGCGACAGGGCGAGACTTTGTCTCAAAAATAAAATTAAAATAAAATAAAATAATAAAACAAAATAAAATAAACCTTCTTTTCTACAGATAAAATGACTGAGACTAAAGTGGTCCAGTGGCTGTCCTGGGAGCCCAGGTGCACATCCATCATGATGTGCAGAGTAAAATTAACTGACATTTAATAATGGCAGATTAATTATCTTTATGCATTTATCAGAATATTAAATGAATAGTAAATAAATGGCTGCTTCGCTCATTTGCCAGGGCTGTTGGGGACCATAAGGATCTGTAACCAAGTATGAATTCACAGCAGACACGTGGCAGTAGGTCCTGCTGTGTCATCAACTGTCACAGTAACAACACCGGTAACATCATCACAGTGCTTCACAATCATGGATTTGATAATCATATATAAATTTTATAAACAAAGCAATAAACCAAAACTCCCAAGAAGTAGAAAAAATACTTCATCAACTCTGAACGAAAGGCAGTGAGAAATCACACCTACGACTATGGCTCTGGGAAGCCGGCAGCCTAATCGCATTAGTCTTCCCACCTAAAATCCACGTCCATCATCCCCTGTGGGCCAAGTGGCCCTGGGCACCAGGAGACTGTGGGTGGCGAGAGGCAGTGAGTGGGCAGGAGTCCCGGAGGGGAAGGTAAGCCCAGGTGCCTGGGGCCCTGAGGATGGTGGATGCCAGGAGCAAGAGGGACAGGATCCCTCCTGACTGGCATCTGGCTGGTCTCTCTGGCCCACCGGGCAGATAATGCTGTGTCTGTCCCTTTCGCAGATGAGCTCCCTCCATAGAGCTGCACTGTCATATGCAGCAAAGGAAAAGAAAAAGGGAGGACCCACAGTGCACAGCCAAAGCTGCTGGTCAAGATCCACAGCCAGAGGAGCCAGGGACAGCTTCAACCAAAGGATCACAGCACTTAAAATTCTGTTTCTCTATCACAAAAGATCTGCCAGACCTAAAAGAGGGGGTTCCCAAATATGCAATTCTGTAGATAAATTGCAAGGGGGATAAAAGAGCAAAGGGCAAGATATCACAAACACAGAGAAAAATAAAAAACAAAAAACAAAAAGAAAGACTGGGAAGACAGATCCTGAAGACCTGACATGCAACAGCAGGAATCCAGGAGGCGGCTCAGGAGTAAAAGGAGGACATGGAGGCAAAAGCAAAGCAAACAACAGGAAGAAACTCCCGATCTGAAGACAGACTTGAGACTGCAGACAAGACGAGTTCACTACGTTCCTGCCATGCTGATGGGAAATGAAGGCTAACGTGTACTCGCACACCCTGGAAAGTCTTGGATTCCAAGAACAGTGTGAAATAGGCATACTCATACTGACAAAGCCTACGTCACCATGACTGGGAGCTGACGTGGTCATAACAATGAAAGCACGCTCACGTCTCCTGGGGCTCCTCCAGCGAGCCTTCCATGGGCCTGGCTTTTACGACTGCACCGGGGGCACAGGATTCCTGCTTGCCACCTCCAGTATCAATCTCCTCTCCTCTTTCTTTTGGTTTCTCTGTGGTTGGTTCCTCTCCCTTTTCTGGTTTCTTAAGAAGCTGAGAAATTACAATGTTAGTAAAGTATCACCTTGAGAGCATATTTTAAAAGAAGCTGTTAAATAAATAATTACAAATATACCCCAATATTGAAGCCAAATGTTTGCACAGCAAAGAATTAAAGCTAAAGGTCCAAAAATGAGGTTTTTGGTTTAATACGTGGTGGAACATTCAGTGAATGAAATATTTTTTAGTCATGAAAAGTAAGGTAGGTTAATGTGATGCAAAGATGTTCACGTAATGAATAAAGGGCTAAAAAACAGAACATGCACCACAATCTCACTTACACTTTTCTCTTTTGAGACAGAGTCTCGCTCTGTCGCCCAGGCTGAAGTGCCGTGGCGCACTCCCGGCTCACTGCAGCCTCCGCCTCCAAGGTTCAAGTGATTCTCCTGCCTCCACCTCCTGAGTAGCTGGGACGACAGGCATGCGCCACCATACCCGTCTAATTTTTTTTTTTTTTTTTGAGATGGAGTTTCACTCTTGTTGCCCAGGCTGGAGTGCAATGGCACGATCTTGGCTCACTGCAACCTCCTCCTCCCGGGTTCAAGTGATTCTCCTGTCTCAGCCTCCCAAGTAGCTGGGATTACAGGCGCCCACCACCACGCTCAGCTAATTTTTTGTATTTTTAGTAGAGACGGGGTTTCAGTATGTCGGCCAGGCTGATCTCAAACCCCTGACCTCAGGCAATCCACCCACCCTGGCCTCCCAAAGTGCTGGGATTATGGGCGTGAGCCACCGTGCCCAGCCCCCACTTCTATTTATGTTCACACACACACCACCACCTAAAGGGCTCTGCAGCACTGTATTAATAGTGATTATTTCCTTTTTTGAGATGGAGTCTCGCTCTGTCGTCCAGGTTGGAGTGCAGTGGTGCAGTCTCGGCTCACTGCAACCTCCGTCTCCTGGGTTCAAGCGACTCTACTGCCTCAGCCTCCTGAATAGCCAGGACTACAGGGGCGTGCCACCACACCTGGCTAACTTTTGTAGTTTTTGTTTGTTGTTTTTTTTGAGACGACGTCTCACTCTGTCACCCAGGCTGGGGTGCAGTGGCTTGATCTCAGCTAACTGCAACCTCTGCCACCCTGGTTCAAGCAATTCTCCTGCCTCAGCCTCTCAAGTAGCTGGGATTACAGGCTCCTGCCACCGTGCCTGGCTAATTTTTGTATTTTTAGTAGAGATGGGATTTCATCATGTTGGCCAGGCTGGTCTTGAACTCCTGACCTGTGATCCCCCAGCGTTGGCCTCCCAAAGTGCTGGGATTACAGGCATGAGCCACCATGCCCGGCCAATAGTGATTATTTCTAGATGGCAGAACTGAAATGACTTTATTTCCTTTCATCTATAGGGTCTAGTTTTCCTGACATAGACAAGTATTAGTTTTGTAATAAGGAAAAAAAAATTTTTAAAAGGCTGCTTCCTACTGATGATTTTTAGAATAGTTTATAGTTTTCAAAACACTGATTATTCTCTTTCCTGAAACAGAATTAATGAACAAGTCGCCACGACATATTTCATCTGCCCTGTATGCCCCTGGCCTTTCTCCCTGCTCTCTGTATAGTTTTTGAAACTAAAGCACCTCAGCTAACTTGAGAAAAGGGAGAAAAAAAAAAAAAACGGAAGCACCACAGACAGATCATTTGTAGAACAGAAATGGAAGGTGTACATCTGAGAATTCTGTTCTCACTCATAATTGCAGCATAGCAAGACCATACACAGATGCATTCAATCACACGTGTTCACTTGGGAACACAACGCATCATGCAAGGTGGAGCATTGGAAGCCGCTTCTCATCAAGCGTGGGCCCCATGTCAGCTGTGAACATCCTCTTATTCTGCCTATGTGGAATCTGGGAACTTAAACATTTCCTTTCTGGTAACTGCCCATCTTTTATAAAAATTGCAACAGTAACATGTCTGTAATAAATGTGAACCATAGGAAGTGCAAATCTCCATCCACCCATTCAACAAATATTCTGTGTGCCTAGGAACTGTTCTTACATTTCTGACACTGCACGTCTTTTTCAATACCACCCCTCCGACACCAGCTGCGTGCTCCACATTCAACTCAACTCTGAGATCATCGACCTGGAGTTAGCACCAGAACCCACGGGTCAAGGGCTCAGTCCCACAAGACTGCCCCCCTTTCAGACGACAGTTCCAAGTCCCAGTGTGTCACCGGTACTTCTGACCAGTCAGCAATAAATTCAGGGGTTCCCGATGGCCTCTCCTCAGATTTGGTAAGTTGCTGAAATGGCTCACAGAACTCAGAAAGGCACTGTTTTCTCGATTATTGGCTAATCATAAAGGATACAACCCAGAACAGCCAAACGGAAAAAATGCACAAGGTGGGTATGGGGTATGGTGTAGTGGTACTTGGAGCTTCCATGCAGTAACCCTCCCAGCACCTTGATGTGCTCACCAACCCGGAAGGCCCGTCTATTTTTTTTATTTTTTTTGAGATGGAGTCTTGCTCTGTCACCCAAGCTAGACTGCAGTGACGCGATCTCGGCTCACTGTACCTTCGCCTCCTGGGTTCAAGCGATTCTTCTGCCTCAGCCTCCTGAGTAACTGGGACTACAGGCATGCGCCACCATGCCTGGCTAATTTTTGTATTTTTAGTAGAGACGGGGTTTCACCATATTAGCCAGGCTGGTCTCAAACTCCTGACCTCGGGATCCACCTGCCTTGGCCCCCCAAAGAGCTGGGATTACAGGCGTGAGCCACTGTGCCTGGCCCCTGGAAGCCCTGTCTTTAGGCATTATTAAGGTTTCATTATGTAGGTGTGACTGATTAAGTCACTGGCCACCGGTGACCTCTCTCTAGGCCCTCTGCCCTCTCGGAGGCTAGGGTGGGACTGAAAGTCCCAACCCTCTAGTCCTGCCTTGGCTTTCTGGCCAACTAGTCCCCATCCTGAAGCTGCCTGGGGCCCCCAGCCCCTAGTCCTCTCATTGGCATATAAGACACTCATATTACTGCAGATTCCCGAGGTCTGAGGAGCTGTGTGCAGGAACCAGGGCCTAAGACCCTGTGCTAGGCACTAGGGAATGGCTGTGAATGAGACAAGAGGTGCCCCTGCCTCGAAGGAACTTGCGCCTGATGCACCACCTGAGGCAACGGTGGTCAAGGGGGAATGCTGTGAACAGTGGCAAAAATATGAAAAAGGAAACAAAGGAATAAGATAACCTCAGGTAGCATCAAAAGCTACGAACAGACATGAAGGGAGAGTAAAGCATCAGAGACGCAGGAAGAGGAGGGCCCAGGAGGGCTCTCTGCAGAGCCAAGACGGGAACTAAGACCAGATGCCAAGAAGGAGCCACGGGCACATCTGGGGAAGTCCCTGTGGAGGGAAACGTGCGGAGTCCTGAGGTGGAATCCGCTGGTGCATTCATGAGAAACCAGCAGGCCAGAGCCGCTGGAGACGAGCTGGGGAGCACGCCAGAGCCGCTGGAGACGAGCTGGGGAGCACGCCAGAGCCGCTGGAGACGAGCTGGGGAGCAGGCCAGAGCTGCTGGAGACGAGCTGGGGAGCAGGCCAGCTCTGCCACGCCCTGCAAGGCTTCCGGAGGCCAAGCGGAGCGCATGGGCAGCTGTGCTCCCTCCCAGCCCTCGCCTGTGTGTGTTCACCCATGTGGCCACACATAAGCTCACTGCTTAGCATCCTCAGAGGAACATTAAACAGCTGAGCTGTTCTGTGTGCCGTATTTCTTTTCTTTTTTTTTTTTTTTTTGAGACGGAGTCTTGCTCTGTCGCCCAGGCTGGAGTGCAGTGGCGCAATCTTGGCTCACTGCAAGCTCCGCCTCCCGGGTTCATGCCATTCTCCTGCCTCAGCCTTCCAAGTAGCTGGGACTACAGGCTCCCGCCACCACGCCCAGCTAATTTTTTGTATTTTTAGTAGAGATAGGGTTTCACCGTGTTAGCCAGGATGGTCTCGATCTCCTGACCTAATGATCCGCCCACCTCGGCCTCCCAAAGTGCCAGGATTACAGGTGTGAGCCACCGCGGTCCAGCCTTTTTGAGACGGAGTCTCGCTCTGTCGCCCAGGCTGGAGTGCAGTGGCGTGATCTCAGCTCACTGCAACCTCTGCCTCCCAGGTTCAAGCGATTCTCCTGCCTCAGCCTCCTGAGTAGCTGGGACTACAGGCGTGTGCCACCACGCCCAGCTATTTTTTTGTATTTTTAGTAGACATGGGGTTTCACTGTGTTAGCCAGGATGGTCTCGATCTCCTGACCTCGTGATACGCCCGCCTCGGCCTCCCAAACCATATTTCTCTTTATTAAGAATAGCCATGAGTGCTACGCACGGTGGCTCATGCCTCTAACCCCAGCAGTGGGAGGATCACTTCAGCCCAGGAGTTCAAGACCAGCCTGGACAACATAGTGAGACCCCCACTTCTACAAATTTTTTTTTAAATTAGCTATTCAGGTATGATGTTGCACCCCTGTAATGGGAGGCTGAGGCGGGAGGATCACTTGAGCCTGGGAGGTAGAGGCTGCAGTGAGCTGTGACTGTGCCACTACACTCCAGCCTGGGTGACACATTGAGACCCTGTCTCAAACCCCCCCCCCACCAAAACCAAACAAAAAAATAGCAAAATAGCCATGAGCCATCTGTCTTTCTTTAAGCTGTTGATACACCTTCTTTTGCATTTCTCCACAGATTCCATTTTTCAGGCATTAAAAGAATTTCAATTTTCCACATGATTTAGAAGTGAAAGACCCCCATACTGAGCACAGATACTTATTAAAAGCTAAACCAGGCCAGGCATGGTGGCTCACGCCTGTAATCCCCAAACTTTGGGAGGGTGAGGCAGGAAGATCACTTGAGTCCAAGAGTACGAGACCAGCCTGGGCAATATAGTGGGAACCCCATCTCTACAAAAAACAGAAACAGGGTCTCTCTCTGTTGCCCAGGCTGGTCTTGACCTCCTGGGCTAGAGCAATCCACCTGCCCTGGTCTCCCAAAGTCCTGAGATTATAGGAATGAGCCATCATACCCAGCCAACTTTTCTGTTTTTGACTGCTGACCATATCAGAAACAAATCTATGGTTCAATGATCTCTTCCCCACCCTTTCCTAAGCTATCTTCTTTCCCCAAGTCCTGACATTTCATTTTTTTCCTCATATTGTACAATATTATTGAATATAAGGTATTCAATAAATAATAAGTAATGAGTGATACCTTAGGTTCAAATCTAGGTTTAGTACTGAGGAGATAATGGCTGGTCCCAATTCTGGCCAACACATTTCACACAGAGAAAAATTCCCTCTATGTATTAAACCACCCTCATAAATGAATGTATCAGTCACAGAAAAAACTCAGCAAGAAATACAGAAACTCATTAGTGCTACTGCCAAAGAAATGATAAAACCCGGTTCTGAGTCAGCCTTCACACAGAAAGGCAAAACCAGTGGTTTTCAAATGTGTATTTTTTAATCAGGGAAACTTTTTTTTTTTTAAGACAGAGTCTTGCTCTGTTGCCCAGGCTGGAGTGCAGTGGCGCGATCCCGGCTCGCTGCAACCTCCGCCTCCTGGGTTCAAGTGATTCTCCTGCCTCAGCCTCCTGAGTAGCTGGGATTCCAGGCACACGCCACCACGTCCGGCTCATTTTTGTGTTTTTAGTAGAGATGGGGTTTCCCCATATTGGCCAAGCTGGTCTCAAACTCCTGAACTCAAGTAATCCGCCTGCCTCGGTCTCCCAAAGTGCTGAGATTATAGGTGTCAGCCACCCCACCCGGCCAGGAAATTTTTTTTTTTTTTTTTTTTTTTTGAGAGGGAGTCTTGCTCTGTCGCCCAGGCTGGAGTGCAATGGCGCGATCTCGGCTCACTGCAACCTCTGCTCCCTGGGTTCAAGCGATTCTCCTGCCTCAGCCTCCTGAGTAGCTGGGATTAAGGCGTCCGCCACCACACCTGGCTAATTTTTGTATTTTTAGTAGAGACAGGGTTTCACCATGTTAGTCAGGGTGATCTCGAACTCCTGACCTCGTGATCTGCCCGCCTCAGCCTCCCAAAGTGCTGGGAGGAAAACTTTTTTTTAAAGGAAAATGTAGAGGGTGGAGAATGGGAGGAGGGTGAAGACTGAAAAACATCAGGTACTGTGCTGATTACCTGGGCAACAAAATTATCTGCACACCAAACCCCAGTGACACTTGATTTACCCATGTGACACACCTGCACGTGTACGCCTTGAGCCGAAAATGAACACGTAACACACCTGCACGTGTACGCCTTGAACCGAAAATGAACACGTAACACACCTGCACGTGTACGCCTTGAGCCGAAAATGAACACGTAACACACCTGCACGTGTACGCCTTGAACCGAAAATAAACATGTGGCACACCTGCACGTGTACGCCTTGAGCCGAAAATGAACACGTAACACACCTGCACGTGTACGCCTTGAACCGAAAATGAACATGTGGCACACCTGCACGTGTAAGCCTTGAGCCGAAAATGAACACGTAACACACCTGCACGTGTACGCCTTGAGCCGAAAATGAACATGTGACACATCTGCACGTGTACGCCTTGAGTCGAAAATGAACACGTAACACACCTGCACGTGTACGCCTTGAGCTGAAAATGAACATGTGACACATCTGCACGTGTACGCCTTGAGTCGAAAATGAACACGTAACACACCTGCACGTGTACGCGTTGAGCTGACAATGAACATGTAACACACCTGCACATGTACGCCTTGAGCCGAAAATGAAAGTTGGAAAGTTTAAAAAAAAAAAAAAAAAAAAGAGCGTCAGCAGCAGCCCAACGTGTGCCAGCGTGGGGCTCCTGTGGGGTGTGCTCCCCACTGCACACCCAGGAGGACAGGCACCCAACAGCAGCCTGAGGACTCCCAGGGCTCAGGACGCACTGTGATAACCACTGCTGTAGGATGGAAAGAAAGATGGAAAAGATGGAAAAAAATAACAACACAATATTAGATTAATTCAGAATGTTTTCAAAATTCTAAAGAACTAAGATATGTAAAAAGTGTAATTACTATAGCAGAGCTATTTTTGGAAAAAGGAAATGTTTCCTCAGAATTACCTTAATCCTTACTTCTTTCTCTGCAATTTTCTTCTGTTTATCTGTCTCTTTTTTTTTGCATCTTTCTTCTTCTCTTCTTCTTCTTTTTTCCTCTTCCCGCAAACGTTTCTTTTCTAACTCTCTCCTCCTCCGTTCTTCTCGCTTCTCTTCTCGAATTCTCTAAAGACATGGAAGAGCGTGTGTATAAACTGCCTGGATGAGAATGGCAGAAGCAGGGAGGGTGTTCATCAGGTAAAGGCCAGACCTACCTGCTTTTCTAATTTTCTATTTTTAATATATTCCAAAAGAGGTGTGGTTCTTCTAGCTAAAACACAAAAATTGTAATATTGTATTTAACTCCTAAAGAAAGATGTATTTTAAATACTTGTTTTGAATGTAATCTTTAAAATAAATACGGGAACCATATCATTACTTTTTAAATTTACACACTGTCTCCAGGGGAGTTTTTATTCCATTACTGTCAGGTCAAGTAATTTGAAAGTATCAACAATTTCATACATAGTAGACATCTAATTCCTGATTCTTAAGGGAGGCTTAAAATATTCCAAGATGATATTTTTGTAGGTGCCTTAAATCATTAAATAACATATATTTATTTTGATACATCGCATATTCTGAGAACTTTTTCGTTTTCCGTTCTCCAAGCAACAGTTTTAAAATAACATGGATTCTTGTAATGTCTTACAATATATACTCCATAAAATCCCAATGATAAGACATACAACTCTGGATTGTAGTTTAGAAAATGACTCCACATGGGCCGGGCGTGGTGGCTCACACATGTAATCTCAGCACTTTGGGAGGCCAAGGCGGGCAGATCACCTTAGATTGGGAATTCGAGACCAGCCTGACCAACCTAAGGAAACCCCGTCTCTACTGAAAAAATACAAAATTAGCCGGGCGTGATGGCACGCGCCTATAATCCCAGCTACTCGGGAGGCTGAGGCAGGAAAACTACTTGAACACGGGAGGAGGAGGTTGCAGTGAGCCGAGATTGCGCCACTGCACTCCAGCCTGGGCAACAACAGCGAAACTCTGCCTCAAAAAAAAAAAAAAAAGAAAAAAAAGAAAAGAAAAAGAAAATGACTCCATATGGCGCTGCTGATTGCAGAAAAGGCACCAACTACTAGGGAATGAACATTTCTACAGACTCTATCTTGGTCCTTCGCTTTCATGCCCGACCTCTCAGATCTGACCTGGATGTGGGTGCCCAGGCAAGCTAGAGGCCCCACAGGCCCCACCTCAGAGGGACTTGCGCTGACATGGACAGGCCCCACATCCCACCAACACAAGGACACAAATGGGAAGGGGGAAGACGGGGTCTACTCTGTGGGTCTGTAAGATCTCAGACTAAACAGGGCTGGGAAGAATCCCTGGATGTACCTGAAAACTGACACATCATCTCTGGAATTCTGAGGACCAGGAATGAATCAGGAATCATAGGAGAAGCCCTGGCCAGGGATCCATCACTTGGAACTGAGAACCCCTGACACCCTGACATCATAGATGAAATGGCACCTGTCCCAGAAGCCCTTCCCCAGGGACAGTCTGTGGTTGTAGGGAAGAGCCGATTGTCCCAGGAGCCCTGCCCCAGGCACAGTGGTTGTAGGGAAGAGCTGATGCAGGTACAAATGCCACATTTCGTGGCAGACACAGTTGCCACAGAGAACACTCCCCCAGGGGTCCCTGGGCTGACCATGAACTCTGGCTCAGGGTGAGTACAGCACACTGGCTCAGGTAAATGGTCAGCTCTTTGTAATGGGCAAATTATCTCAAATCAGCCAGGGTTCTGCTCTGCTCTGTGGAAAGCCTGAACTTGTCAGCCAGGAGCCGGGCGAGACCACCTGGATGTGTGGGGAGGCTGACCCCAGACTCCGCTTGCCCACCTTCCTCTTCCTATAAAATGTCTGCCCTATCACCCACAGGGATCACGGGCAAAGTACGTTAGACCCTGAATAAGAAAGTGTTCTACACATCATAAAAGTATGTTATTTATCAGACAGAATACGCACAACCATGCAACAGAACACAAGTAAACAGAAGTCTCAGAGCTGAACCCAGGCCTGTCTGCTCTAAAGGCCGATGCTAAAGGCCGATGCACCAGACTAACTCAACAACTCCAGAGTCCTTGCCAGAAACAGCTTATTAGTATTTCCATTTAACACTTGCTTCTCAGACCTGTGCAGAAGAATCCACTGGAGGCCAAAAGCTTAGAAAAGAAAAAGGTAATCTGCCATGAATTGCCTAAAATTTTTTTTTTTTTTTTTTTTGAGATGGAGTCTTACTTTGTCGCCAGGCTGGAGTGCAGTGGCGTGGTCTTGGCTCACTGTAACCTCCGCCTGCCGAGTTCAAGCGATTCTCCTGCCTCAGCCTCCCAAGTAGCTGGGACTACAGGCGCATGCTACCACGCCCAGCTAATTTTTGTATTTTTAGTAAAAACGGGGTTTCACCATGTTGGCCAGAAAGGTCTCAATCTCTTGACCTCATGATCTGCCCGCCTCAGCCTCCTAAAATGCTGGGATTACAGGTGTGAGCCACCGCACCCGGCCAAGTTTCAATTTTTCATACATAGAAACAGCAATCACAGAAACAAGGAAGACTCTACAGCCAAGTCCTGGAATGAATTAATCGCTCCCATCAGGGATGGTGGGTTCTAAGCCACATTCATTCATTCATTCAGCCAACTTTTGTGAAGCATTGGCTGTGCAGCAGACTCTCGGGGAGGTGCCAGGACATGCCCCCCTCTCCCCACCCCGGCAGGAGCCACGTGTCTGCCCCAAAAAGGTATGTCTCAAAACAGCCCTAAAGTGACCGATCCTTTGCAAGGGGACATTTAAAACAAAGTGAGATGGAAATGGGAGGGGCAGGGAGATGAGGCCTGTAATAACGTCTAATTTGCTGCTTCTAGCTCTTCTTCAATTTATCAAGTTCTTAAGTGAAATCTCGACTTTGCCCCCAATACTGTCCTACCCTCATGTTCCCTTGTGTATAATGGTGCCACAATCCACCCATCTGTTCAAGCCAAGCACTGGAGTCTTAATTCTTCCTGTCCCCTTACCTCCCACACCCTATCCGTCTGTCGGTCCTGTCCAGCCCACCTCCAAAACACACGCTCATCTCTTGGCATCCACAGTCTATCCCATGTGACACCACCAAAGTGACGGGGACAAATAATCAGACCATGCTACTCCCCCAGTGGCTTCCAGTTGCCCTGGAATGAATCTAAATGTCTTGCAGTGCCCTGAACCTCCAACCACGCTGCCCTCACCCATGTGTGCCAACCCCACAAGCCTGCACTCTGCGCCTGCAGTGAAAAGCGACAGCAGCCGGCCCTGCCCCTGGCGCTTCCTTCCTCCACTGCTCAGCACGGCCAGGCTCAGCTCATCTCCTGACCTCTTTCCCTCCCGCAGCCAGTCTCAGCTCCAGCTCCACCACTATCTTGGAGGGAGTCTCCCAACCTCTTTCCCTCCCATATTCCACTTTGTCACATCAGTGGCAGTGATTACACACTGAGGTGCCCTGGTTGGACTATTCCTGCTCCTGCTTCCAACCTGTCATCCCGATGGTAGGCAGAGGCCTTGTGCAACCTGCTTACCACTTGGCCCCATGCTGAGGCCCAGAGTCAGTGCCCAGGCAGCATGCAGCCTCAGCATATTTTGTTTACTTTAGTGATCAAAAGCCTTATTACGGCTAGGTGTGGTGGCTCACGCCTGTAATCCCAGTACTTTGGGAGGCTGAGGCAGGCGGATCATCTGAGATCAGGAGTTCAAGACCAGCCTGGCCAACATGGTGAAACCCATCTCCACAAAAATATAAAAATTAGCTGGGCATGATGGCGGGTGCCTGTAATCCCAGCTACTCAGGAGGCTGAGGCAGAAGAATGGCCTGAACTGGGAAGGCAGAGGTTGCAGTGAGCCGAGATTGTGCCACCGCACTCCAGCCTGGGCAACAGAGTGGGGGGAAAAAAAGCTTTATTACTAGATAAATGAAGAAAGTGAACGGACTATTTCAGTAATATTAATCTTTTTTTATTAATTCAATCAACATCTACTAAATTCCTGAACTTTTCTACAACCATGAAGATGAAAATATAGTTCCACTGGGGAGACAAAACAAGAAGGGAGTTTATGTGGTGGGAGACAGACAGGAAAATAAATGATAAACAATGTGGCTGTCATGTCACATCAATTTTATTGGTTTTTTGAGATGGAGTCTCGCTCTGTCACCAGGCTGGAGTGCAGTGGTGCGATCTCAGCTCACTGCAACCTCCGCCTTCTGGGTTCAAGCGATTCTCCTGCCTCAGCCTCCTCAGTAGCTGGAACTATAGGCACGCACCACCATGCCCTGCTAATTTTTTGTATCTTTAGTAGAGATGGGGTTTCACCATGTCGGCCAGGCTGATCTCGAAGTCCTGACCTTGTGATCCGCCCACCCTGGCCTCCCAAAGTACATCCATCTTGATGGGTGGGCAGGGCACAGCCTGGGCGGGAGAGATGAGAGGTGAAGAACCAGGGCTTTGAGGAAAGGAGATCCACAGAGAAGAGAAACACTACCAGGTGTGTCTGGGACTAAACAACAACAGTTTGCCTGATTTTCATGTTGGTGCTACTGGGAAGTATGTTGGTGCTACTGGGAAGTAACTATTTCTAAAGTACACCACTTGTGGGCATGGGGTGGAAGGCTGGATTTAAACTCGATTCTGTGCTCTGGCTGGGCTTATCCACAAGTTGGCCTGGCTCGGGGAGCCTGGCATTTGTGTTGAAGCAGCAAGATGACCTCACCGCAAGCAAAACATCTCATTCCTATGGGCTCTTGAGGCATCCGTCTGTGACCACTGACTTCAACTATGTGACACAACATGCCTTCCCTGACGCTCAGGAACAGACCATTCATGTGTCTTCTGCACTGCTCATTCGGAAGCATCATAACTTAAAATGATCTTAACTAAAAAAATCACGTGCTCTCCATCAACCAACGCTCAGAAATATTTTCCCATGCTGCCATCTTGCCATTCTTTTGTCAAAACTGGAAATCACTCTACATTTCTGTCAAGCCTGTAACAAGTTTCAACTTGTTATCACAGTCAAGAAAAAGAGAAAAAACGTATATCCTCTACGAGTAAATCTCTCAATAAAGAAAAGAGAAGAAATGAGCAAAACAGACCAATGAGCTCTCTTGTCTTCGCCTCCATCTCCCCCAGCAGAGTCTCAGGGTTGGCACTGGTCTTCTCTTCCTCCACACAGTAGGTTTCTAAAAACTTCTTATATTCTGGATCTAGACATTAAAAAGTAGGAAGAAAATAAATATAATCTTTCCCAACTACGGGAGAATTACATTTGCTCAGTGTTCTTAATTTGGCAGCTTCATAACGTAGCACTTGGAAAGGGCTCACCATCTTCGATGCTTCCAGTCTTGGCATCTTTTTTTCTCAGCTTCTTTTTGGCTATCTTCTGGAATGGAGCAAACTCTACCACTGCAGGATATTCTAGGCCTTTTAACAGGAAACATGTTCCAGAAGCCATTCTGAAATTCTACTACATTCATTTCGGAAAATAATGACCTAACTTACTTAAAGAGTAAGTGTAACAACGACAATGCATTATTACTATTTAAACTATAATTCATCCTTCCAGTAAGAGATTAAAAAAAAGATTAAAAAACCTACAATTTTATTACACTTTCAAGCACCTGCAACCTTAACACGGCAAACTCCAGACTTAAACAAGGATGAACTCCTGGTAAGAAGAACATTTACTAAAACAATCCATCATGTTGTGGTGGTTGCATAACTGAAGTTGTTCAAAATTCATCAAATTGTTCACTTTAAAAGGGTGACTTTTACCATATGTAACTTACACCTCAATATACCTGACCTCCCCAGCCCCATCCCAAATAATTTATCGTTGGAATACCTTTAAATAATGATTTCTTAGCTACACTTTACATTTTATTTTAAAAGGTTAATTCAACTATCAATTTGTTATTTAAGTTCAAGAAAATTACTTTGCTTAGAAGACACCATGGCTAAAATAGAGGGTTTCAAAGGGTTTATAGAATATTCCAGGTGAAATCTGCTTCTGATAAAAGTAGAGAATGGAAGTCATTAGAAACTAACTTCGTTGCTATGTGGGGGAAAAACAAATACACAAAGAGAAATGTTCACTAAGAGAACCTGCTATATGCTGAATCATCAAATGGAACACTGCTACCTTGGTACTAAACCCACTGAGTCATTTTTTTTTGACTTGTCAGTAATAGTCAGGTGACTGAATTATAATTCCTTTAACTGGGAGATATTTTTGTGCCAACCTCCACTATCCAGAATAAAGTCAAGACTCAGGGGGACGGCAGGGCACTGGACCAGCAGGGACGATGTCCAAGTCACCGCTCCACCCACAAGGCCTAGCACACAGTGGATACTCATTCAATGGCAGATGACATACTCCCTGATTCCAAAGCTGAAAGTAATCAGTGTGGTACTGCCATGTAGACAGACACATCCACCAAGGGAATAAAATAGAGAGCACAGAAATAAACCTTTGTAATACTTGGTCAACTGATTTTTGAAAAGGGTGCCCAGACCATTCAATGGGGAAAAGAAAGTCTTTTCAACAACTGGTGCTGGGAAAACTGGATATCCACAGCCAGAAGAATGAAGCTGGACCCTTACCTAACACCATATACAAAAAGTAACTCGATATGGATCAAACCTAAATATAAGACCTGAAACCATAAAACACTTGGAAAAAAACACAGGGGAAAAGCTCCATGGCAATGGATTTGGCAATGGGTTGCATATGACATCAAAAGCACAGGCTTAGGCCAGAGACCATAAAAACAACGGCAGGGCAGCGGCTCACGCCTGTAGCCCAGCACTTTGGGAGGC
This sequence comes from Homo sapiens, assembly GCF_000001405.40. Classification (NCBI taxonomy): domain Eukaryota; kingdom Metazoa; phylum Chordata; class Mammalia; order Primates; family Hominidae; genus Homo; species Homo sapiens. The sequence goes on along the minus strand of NC_000013.11, from coordinate 114,284,906 downwards.
CAATGTGGGGGGAATCGCTTGAGCTCAGGAGTTTGACACCAGCCTGGGCAACATAGTGAGACCCCATCTCTAAAAAACAAAACAACGACAACAAAGATAACCGGAAACAAGGACGACTGGCCCCTTGCTCACTACAGGTGGGAACCTAAAATGGCGCAGTCACTGTGGAAAACAGTATGGTATAAATTTTGTGACTTTTTTTTTTTTTGAGACAGAGTCTCACTCTGTCACCAAGGCTACAGTGTAGTAACACGATCTTGGCTCACTGCAACCTCTGCCTCCCGGGTTCAAGTGAGTCTCATGCCTCAGTCTCCCAAGTATCTGAGATTACAGGCATGCCTCATGATGCCTGGCTAATTTTTTTTTTTTTTTAGTAGAGACAGGGTTTCACCATCTTGGCCAGGCTGGTCTCGAACCCCTGACCTCAACTGATCTACATTCCTCGGCCTCCCAAAGTGCTGGGATTACAGGAGTGAGCCATCACACCTGGCCATGTTACACATATTTTACACACACACACACATATACATACACGTACATACACATACATATTTTTTTGCTCCGTCGCCCCGGCTGGGATGCAGTGGCATGATCTCGGCTCACTGCAACCTCCGCCTCCCAGGTTCAAGCAATTCTCCTGTCTCAGTCTTCCGAGTAGCTGGGACTACAGGCGCCTGCCACCATGCCTGGCTAATTTTTGTATTTTTAGTAGAGACAGGGTTTCACGTTGTTGCTCAGGCCGGTCTCGAACTCCTGACCTCGTGATCCACCCGCCTTGGCCTCCTAAAGTGCTGGGATTACAGGTGTGAGCCACTGTGCCCGGCCCACCAATATTTTTTAAGTGAAAAAGGGAAACTCAGTAAGTTACTGAATAAATGAGCAATGAACACAAAGGTCAGTTCAAGCATCACATTTGCTTCTAGTCACAGGAACTAGCTTGGCTAATGCTTATTTTTTTAACAATCTTTCTAGTCCTTACCCCTCATTGGAGAAAAAGAAAACACTCATCAGTGTCAAAACACGTGGAGTCGGAAGAGGGTGGCTGGGGAGGGGAGGGCAGAAAACAACTTGCTGTGAAAGGTATACAAACTTGACAGCCAGGAACACAACAGCAGACAGCCTGACAGGAGAAGAGAAGGAAAAAGATGAAAGCAGAACCCTAGAAGTACTGATAAGGGAACTATTGAGAGTAGAGTTGAAGACTGCTGTCTCCGCAGGCAAAGCTGTTTAACAGCAGTGACTTCCTGGTGACATTATCATAAATGGTACAGTCATGAAGGATGCTGTTTAGGAAGATAGAAGTCAGTGTACATTTTGGAAAATTCCTATCAGGTAAAATAGTTTAGCTTTAGAACCTAAAAAGATCAAGTTCTCTCATGCAACAAACTCACTCATGAAAACCTTCATTCTCTGATGATAATACATAAATAGGCTGTCACTATTACACAGAATTTCTGGAATTTTTTTGGATTAAATAATAAAATTAAATAATTTCAATTTTTAATATCTGCACATAATTACAGTAACATAATCAAAATTTATAAACTTATTTTAGTCTGAGAACTTTTTAATTAAAATGCACAAATAGACCGGATGCTGTGGCTCACGCCTGTAATCCCAGCACTTTGGGAGGCTGAGGTGGGAGGATCACTTGAAGCCAGGAGTTCAAGACCAGCCTGGGCAACACAGTGAGACCCCCGTCTCTACACAATTTTTTTTTTAAATCAGCCGATCATGGTGGCACACGCCTGTGGTCCCTGCTACCTAGGAGGCTGGAGGATTGCTTGAGCCGCAGTGTGAGGCTGCAGTGAGCCGTGATTGCGGCTGCTGCACTCCAGCCTGGGCAACAGAGCAAGACCCTGTCTCAAAAAATAATAATAATTTAAAAAGCACGAATATTCTAGCAATACTTCATTAGTATACCTACAGATTATAATAGATTTTTAAAAACCAATAATCCAACCTTTGCTGTCAAGGAAGATATATCCATCAAAACGATCTCTAAAAAGAAGGATGTCATCAGGATTCCTAAAATTAATGTATGCTCTTGAGTAGAGATGAGGATAAAGACTGAAATAAGAGATAACAGTGAAAATGGTCAGTGAAAAATACAATAGTCCATTAATTTAGCCTCTTTTTCCTTTTCTGGGCACAACAAACTACTTTAGATAAAACTTTTGTGCCAAATCATCTCAGTTAATTGTAACAACTTGGATATTCTTTAGCAAAAACAAACGCAAAACGTTAACTTTACAAGGCAGAACTCAGGTCCCTTCTCCACTGCCCAGAACCGGTCCTCCGAGGCTGAAACCCTAAGGCAAGGCCAGGGCGCACTCCCAGAGGAACCCGTGGCGCCGAGAGACTCTCCTGACTTGGGGACCTTCTCCGGTATTTAAAACCGCACTGGCTGCGGCACCAGCGTGGAGGCCACAGGAAGAGCCGGCGCCCCCCGGCCCCGCAGCGCCCCGTCCGCGGACGAGCAGGGAAGCCCGGGAGGCGCCGGGCGGGCAACGCTGGTCCTTTCAAAGGCACCCGCTTTCCTAAGCGTTAGCCGTCTGAAAATCATCCGCATTTTTCATGTAAACCACATCTGTGTTTCTTTGTTGGTGGTATTTTTCTTTGACGGAACGGACACGTTTTACTGAAATGTATTTATTCAAAAAGCTCACACGACTCCCATATAGGAGAAATCAGGGTAAGGAACGTAAGGCAACGAGACGGCCACCGCCGCCGAGCTCTGGGTTCCGCCCTCTCTTCCTCCCCTCGGGGCGGGCCTCACCTCAGGTCGGCGGCGAAGAACTCGAAGTAGTCGTGTGCTGGCAGCGGGCGCAGCTGCTCCTCCAGCTGCTCCTTGGTGAGGCCCGGAGGCAGGCGGCGGATGACCACCTGCGGGGAGCGCGCGGCCGTTCCCACCGGGGCGGAGCGTGGACAAGGAGCTCAAAAGGCACCGCGTACCGCGCTGGGAGGCCCGGCCCCCGCCCCTCCCTCCCCTCCCTCCCCTCCCTCCACTCAGGGCCGTCCTCTCCTCGCGAGGTTTGCGCGCCCCGCCCCCGTCCCCACCTTGCTCAGGGCCGTCCTCTTCTCCTCGCGAGGTTTGCCCGCACCGCCCCCGCAACCGGAGGACGAAGTTGGCGGCGTCTCAGCCTCCTGCTGCTGCGAGTCGCGGTGGAACTGCACTTCTAGGGCCGACAGCTTCTCCCTCCCGCTCGGGCCCCGCGCGGCAACGGCCGCCCGAAGGCCTCCGGCCCCCTCCTTTTCCGAGCGCATGCCGCACTCTCCGCCGAGCCGCAGCCGCCAGCCCCCGACGAAACCTCGCGAGAGCTCGGCCGCCCCAGCCCCGCCCCTCCTCGAGCCGCGGCGGTCGGGGCCGCCCACGAAGGGGTCAGGCGCTGCGGGACTAGTCGGGGTCGGGGTGGTGACCTCCGGCCACACAGCCTGGCTTTCCGCCGGGTCAGGCGGCCCCTCAGGGAGCGGCGGCCGCGGTTTAGGGCGGCCCCGGAAGCGGGGCGCCGGCGGCTTTGGTCCGGGCGTGGTGGGAGGAGTTCGCGGACAAGCCGCCCTCCCATCCCAGCACCGTTTTTATCCCACTCCCCCAGGCTCTCCGTGGCCGGGGCGCCATGAAAGCCGGGTTCACATTTGAATTCTTAATTTTTTTGGAGACAGTCTCGCTCTGTCGCCCAGACCGGAGTGCAGTGGCGCGATCTCGGCTCACTGCAGCCTCTGCCTCAGCCTCCTGAGTGGCTGGGACCTACAGGCACGCGCCACCACCCCTGGCTAATTTTTTTGTTTTTTTAAAGTAGAGACGGGGTTTCACCTTGTTGGCCAGGATGGTCTCGGTAACTCCTGACCTCAAGTGATCCGCCCACCTCGGCCTCCCAAAGTGCTGGGATTACAGGCATGAGCCACCGCTCCGGGCCCTTGCACATATTTTTTTATGAACACACAGGCAGCAGCACTTTGATTACAGTAACTTACATGGAAGTTATTTTAAAATGGCTTTCCCCTTCTCTTTTTCATGTAGGCTGCATTTTTCATCTGCAGCACGCTTTCTCTCAAGAATCTCAAGCACACACAAGAAACCAGAGAGTAAAATCACTGAGGCGTGAACACATCCAGAGACCAAGGGCGTCACTGGCAGAAAAGCTTTTAGGCGGATCCACGGCCCGAGAGCCACCCTGCCCAGAGACGCGGTTTCCTAGGAGCAGTTCACACGCGGCTCTGCAGCACCCACAAGCGGGGCCAGGGGCTGGTTTTCATAGTTCACAGTCTGCAGGGATCTTAACAAAAACATGGCCGTGGTAAAAGTGCCTAGACCAGGCTTTCGTCACAACTCAGTGAGTAGGAAGACTAGTTAGGCTGATGAAAAGCTCTGATGATGTGTGATTAAAAGTAGGAAAACGTGGTTGCCAAATAAAATATTTTACTATATAGTCAGGGGGAGAGATGGGGATAAAAAAATGTGGAAACCATTTATTTTAAAATTTTGACTGTTCCTGCAGTGTTTAAAATATAGGAGATATATTCTGATTATCTTTAGAAAGAAACTGCTCTCAATCTATTTGTATGTCTTCCCTCTGGTTTTAAAATATTAAACAATCATCTAACTCAATATTTAATTTTACCTCTAGTCATGTTACTAGGTTAGGATAATAAAAAGGACTGTGAACTTCACATCTGCCATCTATAATAGATTCTTATTGTAGCAATCTTGCACCAAGGGGATTTCTTTATTAACTCTGCCAAATTTTCCAAAATTACCAAATGGAGAAAAGAGCTGGTCCCATCTGTCACCAGGCACAACCAGGTCAGTAACTTAGGGTATTTCTTGTGTTCATGTTTTGCCCTCACCACTGCAAAGCCCTGTTCTCGGCCTGGTGCCTCTGCACACCTCTGAAGCCAGGTTGGCCTCAGCCAATGTGAGGGACCCTTCATTTGACCTTCCCCAGAACCTTGAGTATTTCCACTTCTCCCTTCACTGCACTGTACCCTAAAGGGACTCACATGTTTGCTGGATGTGTATATTTCGTAAACCTAGCCAGCAAAATGTCCAAATGTTTTTCCCCCCAAGTCAATTTTTTAACACCCTTCTGATTCTTTACTTCCTGTTATTGCAAAGTTCTGAAAAATGATTTTGAAAAAAAGGTAGGATTTTAGAATTCAGCTGTTTGATGAAATTATCTTTAAATAAAACCATATGAATTTTAAGATACAGTGAATGAAATACACTTGTAAAATAGCTTATGATTTTACATGACAAATTATATCACAAAGAAAAGCTAGCTTCCTACACATTAGCCAGCCTGTTGAAATGCTCTGTTTGATACATGTACAGAACTTTACAGCCAAAGCAAAGCAGGAAGAAATATCTCCAAATCCTTCTTCATGTGGGCTTTTAGTATGTAACTTTACTTTTGCTTAACTGAACACTTCCATCTGTGAATGTGGCCCTGGGCTACATTTTACTTGGTAGCCCCTATCTCATTGGTAGATGACAGTGACTTGAAGCTGGTGACCGTAACACTTCCCAGTATTTCCTTTAACGATAACACAGCCACTGTAGTTAGCAAACAGGACACCTTTTTAGGATAAACTGTGTCCTGAGATACTGAAGAATTGGGTAGTAACAGGAACAATACTTGGCAGTACGACACATTGTTTTTACTCTCAGAGGCCTAAACACTGGTGTTAACACTGCTGCTGATCCGAATTACAGCTTACTCAAGTGTCTGAACCTTTTGACATTCACTTACAGAAACCAGAAAAATTCTAACAGTGATCAATGAGAAAACTAAATGGTTTTTTTTTTTTTTTTGCTCTGGCAGGAAAAATAAATGTAAAAAACTCAGCACTTTATTAATATAATACTTTCATTTTAGTTGTTTTAAAAATAATTACCTTAAGTTCAGTCACTTGATTTTTTAGCCCCAACTCAAGACAGGGGAGGCATACATGATGCCTGACAGAGAGACAGAAAAGCCATTTAAAAATGAAAACATGAAAACGCATTAGTTTGAGTCTAATTTAGCGTGGGGTAACTCATGGTCTCTAAATGTATTACTGCATTAACTTCCAGCGCGATACCTGACTTTCACCATGATGAATGGAGACAGGATGGGGTCTGAATGCTAGTCTTCAATGCACCATACAACAGTGCTAGACCCTCATCAGTATGAAGGGGAACAAAGCCCTCCTTAAAAGATTTACTAGAGTTAACACCTGGGGATCCTCAAGAAATGAATGCTATCATTGTTCTGCTTCAGAAGGTAGAAATACAGGGAATACACTTCAGATAGGTTAAGATAAAAAGTTTTGTGTTTAAGGCAGCACCTCAGTTGCCTGGAAAATTCACTTCTGTATAATGCCTAATTTGTTAATGATGCCGTGAATAGATGCTTTCTAATAACTACACAAGTTTGTTTTTATGAAAAAGTAGAGTAACATGTCCTCTGATGTTAGTAGTAGGAGAGTTTGAATAAAGGACTTTAAACAAATGAAGCATATAATCCTCTCTCTTTATTAGAATGATGAAGAGTGGGGGTGTTGTCTGTTTATACAGTTATCACCTAGGAGTCATATCAAGATTCTTTTCCTAATCTCAGTGAAGAGGTTAAAAAAAAGTTTAAAGATTAGAGATTTAGTAGAATTGTCTTGTAGCACCTTTTTAAAATAAAATTTTTAAACGTATCTTTTCAGACCGGGCGCTGTGGCTCAAGCCTGTAATCCCAGCACTTTCAGAAGCTGAAGCAGGTGCATCATTTGACGTCAGGAGTTTGAGATCAGCCTGGCCAACATGGTGAAACCCCGTCTCTACTAAAAATACAAAAATTAGCTGGGTGTGGTGGCAGGAGCCTGTAATCCCAGCTACTCAGTAGGCTGAGACAGGAGGATTGCTTGAGTCCGAGAGGCAGAGGTTGCAGTGAGCCGATATCACGCCACTGCACTCCAGCCAGGGCAACACAGTGAGCCTCCGTCTCAAAAAACAAACAAATTTTAACATATCTTTTCACAAAATCAATCACCAGCCAAATGTGTAAAACTATGTAAGAACTTTTCCTTCTTGACCCCAACAAATGGGGCATTTCCATCTGTTCCGCTATGGCTGATTTCAGATGCTCCTACAAAACAGGGAATCCAGCTGTGACATATTTTAAATATCATTACTGATAGACACCTGCTTATTTCACATAGATTCAGTTTTCAATCTTATGTGAGAAAACTGCAAAAGATGTTAAAATAATGGAATAAAAAACAGGCCAAGAGAGCCTATAACATTTGCCAACAGTTAAAAGGATACGTCACCAAATTAGTATGTGAGAAAATAGGTAAAATTCAATTTCTTTATCTTATACATACCAGGAGGTAGCAATTACAAAGAATAGTGAATCACATTTATTTTATAGAACACAATTATAACTTAGCACCAATAGCTGTTCAATTCTTTGAGCTTTTTAAAGCATCATAAAATGTGTTAATAGCTGAGTTTGTTACCTTAAATACTATGACTTTCAAAAGTTAAACTGAAATTTGATAAGTACTGCAATTTATTTTATATGACTATTATTTAGCTATAGTTGTGTTTTTTGTTTTTTTTTTTTTTTGAGATGGAGTCTCGCTCTGTCACCCAGGCTGGAGTGCAGTGGCGCAATCTCAGCTCACTGCAGGCTCCGCCTCCCAGGTTCACACCATTCTCCTGTCTCAGCCTCCTGAGTAGCTGGGACTACAGGCACCCACCACTACACCCGGCTAATTTTTTGTATTTTTAGTAGAGACGGGGTTTCACCGTGTTAGCCAGGAGGGTCTCAATCTCCTGACCTCGTGATCCGCCCGCCTCAGCCTCCCATAGTGCTAGGATTACAGGCGTGAGCCACTGCGCCCAGCCTATAGTTTTTTTTTAATATGACTAATATTTAGTTATAGTTTTAAGACAGCAGTGACGTCACAGAAAACGGCAGGGCAGGAAGCTTCAGGGATTAATTGGTTCTTCCACCAAAACCACCATTAAGCTGGACAACAAATTAGCAGAATCAACTGTTTTCTAACTCTGTCACCTCATCAGATGCTTACTGCAACCCGGGGAAGGCTTGATGATGCAGAGGCTGCAGCTTTTTGGTTAAGAGGGTGGTGTGGATGGACAGCCAACCTACCTGCTGCAGCCTGTCCTCAGCGAGGACCCTGTGCATTTTGGTCACATGATGGTGCCCTGAGGGACCAGCGTCGATGCGTGCCTTTGTCTCGACCCCCTCAGGCTGCAGCAATTTCCCCAATACCATCTATCAGAAAATTTAGAGACATACACTTCTTTTAAAAAAAAAGATCTAGATATCGGGCCAGGCGCAGTTATGCACGCCTGAAATCCCAGCACTTTGGTAGGCTGAGGCGAGAGGATCATTAGAGCCCGAGTTTAAGACCACCCTGGGTAACACAGCGAGACTGCGTGTCTACAAAAATAAAATAAATAAATTAGCCGGGCATGGTGGTGCATTCCTATAGTCCTAGCTACTCGGAGGCTGAGGCGAGAAGATCCCTTTAGCCAAGGCGTTAGAGGCCGTAGTGAGCTATGATCATGCCACTGCACTGTAGCCTAGGTGACAGAGTGTGACCTCATCTCAAAAAAAAGAAGAAAAGATCCAGACATTTAAGGAAATTTCTGTCAGGTTACAGGCTGACCAGAGACAATAAAAAGACCAAGAACCTCAGGAATACAGACTTCGCAAAAATAACTTGGAAAATTCACTACACAAATGAACTGCAGCCCTCAACAAGTAACAGAAGCAATCCCTGAGGAGAGGGATAATCTGATTTCCAGAGCTACTGCAGTGTCATATTCAAACTGTACAGTCCTCAACACAAAATTACAAAGCACACAAATAAAATGGAAAATATGGCTGACTTATGGGAAGAAAAGAATATGACAGAAACTGTCACTGAGGGACCCCAGATATTAGAATTACTAGTCAAAGATGTTCATCAACTGTATTAATATGCTCAGAGGGCTAGCGGAAACCACGGAAAACGGACTAAAAGAACTAGGAGAGCGATGTATGAACAAACAGAAACTGTCAACAGAGATAGAAATGATAACAAGGAACCAAATAGAAACTCGGGAACTGAAAAACACAATAGCTGAAATTAAAGCATTCACTGGAAGGATTCAGCAGCAGACTTGAGCAGGCAGAATTAGCAAAGGTGAAGAGAAGGCAGTTGAACTTATCCAGTCTGAGGAGCACAAGTAAGAAAAGAACAGAACCTACGGGACCCATGGGACACCATCAGAAATACCAATGCACGCATATAGGAATCCCAACAAGAGAGAAAAAGGGAAAACAAAACAAAACAAAAAAACAAACAAAAAACCCTAAAGAAATAATGGCCGGGAAATGAGGAAGCACATCAAAAGCCAAAATGGGCCAAATGCCAGGCCTCTTGCACCAAACAGTTGGCCAAGTTGTGAATGCAAAGGAAAAGTTATTGAAGGAAATTAAAAGAGCTTCTCCATTAAACACACACAAAAAAGTGAAACAGCCTTATTGCGGCGGATAGGGAGAAGGTTTGAGTGATCTGGATACGAGATCAAATGAGATACAACGTTCCTGTAAGCCAAAGCCTAATCCAGAGCAAGACCCTAACTCTCCTCAATTCTATGAAGGCTGAGAGAGGCGAGGGAGCTGCAAAAGAAAAGGTAGAAACTAGCAGAGATTGGTTCATGAGGTATAAGGGAAGAAGCCATCTCCACAACATAAAAAGTGCAAGATGGAACAGCAAGTGCTGATGGAGAAGCCATCTAGATGCTCTAGCAAAGATAATTAATGAAGATGGCTACATTAAACAGAAAACGATCAATGCAGACAAAACAGCCTTATATTGGAATATGATGCCATCTAGCACTTTCATAGCTGAAGAGGAGTCAATGTCTTGTTTCAAACGATAGGCTGACTTGTTAGGGGCTAATGCAGCTGGAGGCTTTAAACTAAAGCCAATGCTCATTCACATTTTGAAGAAAATCTGAGAGCTAAGTCTACTCTGCCTGTGCTTTAAAAACAGAAAAAGTTTGGGTGACAGCACATCTGTTTACAGTATGGTTTACTATTTTAAGCCTACCCGTGAGACCTACTGTTCAGAAAAAGATTCCTTTCAAAGTATTACTGCTCATTGACAATACTGACAATGCACCTGGTCATCCATGAGCTCCGTGGGTGATGTACAAGATGAATGCTGTTTGCATGCTGCTAACACAACATCCATCCTGCAGCTCATGGATCAAGGAGTCATTTTGAATTTCAAGTCTTATTTTTTAGGAAATACATTTTGTAAGGCTATAGCTGCCATAGAGAGTGATTCCTCAGATGGATCTGGGCAAAGAACATAGAAAACTTTCTGGAAAGGATTCACCATTCTAAATGCCATTAAGAACATTTGTGATTCATGAGACGTGGTCAAAATGGGAGTTTGGAAGAAGCTGCTTGCAGCATGTGGTGATAATAGCAAGATAACTAAAATTAGAAGTGGAGCTGGGCATGGTGGCGTGTGCCTGTAATCCCACCTACTTGGGAGGCTGAAGTGGGAGGGCTGCTTGAGTCCAGGAGTTCGAGACTAGCCGGGGCAACACATAAGACCCTGTGTCAAAAAATATATAAATAAAAAATAAAAATTAAAAATGGAGCCTAAAGATGTGACTGAATTGCTGCAATCTCACGATAAAACTTTAATAGATGAGGAGTTGCTCTCTATGGATGAGCACAGAAAATAGTTTCTTAAAATGGAATCTACTCCTGGTGAAGATACTCTGAACACTGTTGAAACAACAAAGGATTTAGAAGATTCCATAAATTTACTTGATAAAGCAGCATCAGGGTTTGAGAGGATTAACCCCAATTTTGAAAGACATTCTACTGTAATATGCTGTCAAACAGCATCATATGCTACAGAGAAATCTTTCATGAAAGAGTCAATCAATGCAGCAAACTTCACTCTTATTTTAAGAAGTTACCGGTCACCCCAGCCTTCAGCACCATCATCATCAGCCATCCCCATGGAGGCAAGACCCTCCATCAGCAAAAAGATTACAACTTGCTAAAGGCTTAGAGGATCATAAGCATTTTTTTTTTTAACAATAAAGTGTTCTCTTTTTTTTTTTTGAGATGGAGGCTCGCTCTGTTGCCCAGGCTGGAGTGCAGCAGTGGGTGTGCTCTCAGCTCACCGCAACCTCTGCCTCCTGGGTTCAAGCGATTCTCCTGCCTCAGCCTCCCAAGTAGCTGGGATTACAGGCACCCACCACCACGCCCGGCTAATTTTTGTATTTTTAATAGAAACAGGGTTTTGCCATGTTGGCCAGGCTGGTCTCGAACTCCTGAAAGTATTTTTAAATTAAGGTATATACACTGTTTTTTTGGATATAATGCTATTACATACTTAATAGACTACAGTATAAACATAACTTTTATATGTACTGGGAAACCAATTTGTGAAACTAGTTTTATTGTGATATTTGCTTTATCTTGCCAGTTTGGAACCAAAACTGCAGTGTCCCCAAGGCATGCCTGTAGGTAAACATGAGTCCATACTGATAAATGATCGAATAAACAGGAGAGAAGAAACAAATCTTCAAGAAGAATAACATGCACAGATACTGCTCTCTCCAGGGGTTGGAGCTGAAACCTCCTCAACCCACAGAGTATGGAAAGGGAAAAACAGGAACTTGACAGTGGAGAAATCTGGCAGACACCACTGTGACCAGGTGGCCAAGGTCAGCACTGCCTGGGATAGGTCGTGTGGTGGTTACAACCACCCAGTAGGATGTGATGAGAAAGGTGCTTGAGAAACACATCAAACTCCAATTGAGGGACATTCTACAGACTACCTGGCCAGTACTCCTCAAAACTGTCAAGGTCATGAGAAACAAGGGAAGTCTGAGAAACTGTCACAGGCAAGAGAACGCAAAGGAGATGGGATGACTAAATGCAGTATGTGCCTGGATGGGACTCTGGGACAGAAAGCAGACATTACGGAAAAACTGGTGAAATCCAAATCAAGGCTGGATTTTAGTGAATGGACACTAACAATGTTGGTTTCTTAGTCATGACAAATGTACCATGGGAAGAGAAGAGGTTACCAATGGGGGAAACTAGGTGAGGGGCACACATAAGCTCTCTGTACTATCTCTGCCATTTTTCTGTAAATCAAAAATTAGTCCAAAATAAAAGTTTATTGGAAAAGAAAAAAAAAGACATAACAGATGGTTTACCTTCTTTATTCCACTATGTATAACTATTTTGTAGGTTCAGAGAATCAGAACACATCTGTTGCAAAGGTGTGCGATCCAGTCTCTTAAGGCGGGTCTCTGTTCCTAAATGTAGAGATGCAGTTTGGAGTCACGTTAGGAAGTGGGACATTCTTAAGCCATGGAGAGGATGTGAAGGAATACTAACCTACACTGGGACAGTGGGACCAGGACCACTGACTGGAGTCACGTGCTGTGGTCTGACATAGATGTCTCTAACATCATGTCACTTTCATTCATTTCAATTTCAAAGGTTTCTTCCAAGGAAGGTCTGGAATCTGGAGTTTTCCTTGAGGTTTCCAATGGCGTAAGCCCCGTTTCTTCTGCAGTCTGTTTTTCTACTTCAAATTCCCTGAAATCCCACGGAGGTGAAATAATGTTTTTTAGTGTCTTCATTGTATGCACATCAAAGTCATAACATTTTAATTTGTCTTTAATGTCTGCTCCTAAAAAGAAATACTATAATTAGAATAAAATAAGAAATTCCATCACTTATCATTTCTATTGTTATATAACACCATCTCTTATCATTTAAGTCAGATTATACTATTTAGAATAAAATACAAAACTCCATCATTTATCATTTCCATCATTATACACCATCTCTATCATTTAAGTCAAATTATACTTTTAAGAGCACAAGTTGAGAGCAGAAGGAAAACAACATTCCAATCTTCTTTTTCATTTGTTTTCCACCATTTGCAAAGGAAGTGTCAGAAGACTTTCAGAAGCACATGCAGTTGCAGCTCCAGTGTTTCAACAGTTGCCCATTTCCAAGGCCTCCTAAATACGTATGAGGCCTGTGGACAACTTTCTCCTCAGCTGTTACAGGTAAGAACTGCACTGTGTGGCCAGGCGCGGTGGCTCACACCTATAATCCCAGCACTTTGGGAGGCCGAGGCGGGCAGATCACAAGGTCAGGAGATCGAGACCATCCTGGCTAACACGGTGAAACCCAGTCTCTACTAAAAAAAAAAATACAAAAAAATTAGCCGGGCATGGTGGCGGGTGCCTGTAGTCCCAGCTACTCAGGAGGCTGAGGCAGGAGAATGGCATGAACCCAGGAGATGGAGCTTGCAGTGAGCCGAGATAGTGCCACTGCACTCCAGCCTGGGCAACAGAGTGAGATTCCATCTCAAAAAAAAAGAACTGTGCTGTGCCCATTGGGTATAGTCACCAATCTTATGCATAAAAAAGCCACGATGAAATAAAATCCATTTCCCATATATTAAAACCTTAAGGGTAATATAGATTTGAACAGATCTGAACAGATGTATTAGGTACAATCATTCGACATAAACAAAATGAGTTTTACACAGTTCAAACCAATAGCTTTCAGAAATAGGTAGTTTGGCAGATAATGACATGCAAACTTTCTAAAAATAAAAATGACATGAATGGTAAATCTTGGCCGGGCGCGATGGCTCACGCCTGTAATCCCAGCACTTTGGGAGGCCGAGGCGGGTGGATCACGAGGTCAGGAGATCGAGACCATCCTGGCTAATGTGGTGAAACCCCGTCTCTACTAAAAATACAAAAAATTAGCCGGGCATAGTGGCGGGCGCCTGTAGTCCCAGCTACTTGGGAGGCTGAGGCAGGAGAATGGCGTGAACCTGGGAGGCAGAGCTTGCAGTGAGCCAGGATTGCACCACTGCACTCCAGCCTGGGTGACAGAGAGAGACTGTGTCTCAAAAAAAAAAAAAAAAAAAAAAAAAGGTAAATCTCTTCTGCGAGGTCAAGGAGACATCCCTCTGACTCATTATCAACTCTCTAGCCTTTATTTAGCTTCCTATGAACTTCCCACCCTTGAACAAATGAGGAAACTAAGGCTCAGACTTGCCTTTCTTGCCACAGGGCTGCCGAGGGGCAGAGCTGAGGCTTCAACCTAGCATCTCTCAGAAACCAGAGCTTAAATTTGTTTTTTAAAATTGAGCTAAAACCAAGAGTCAAGTGTGAATCCCCTTAAGCACATGGCTGAATGAACCCTATGTACATGCATCCCAGATGACTACCGCCAGAATGGCACAGAACACATGCAGCTCCTTAAGACCCTGTGCCCACTCCTGGTCAATACTGTCAGCTTTCCCAAGCCTGAGATAAGCACTTCTTGGACTTTTCTATCGCTACCAATTAGTTTTGTTCATTACTAATTGACATGGTTTGGATCTGTGTCCCACCAAATCTCAGGGTGAACCGTAATCCTCAATGTTGGAGGTGGGGCCTGGTAGGAGGTGACTGGATCATGGGGGTGGTTTCTCCTGAATGGTTTAGTACCATCCTCTTGGTGCTGTTCTCGTGATAGTGAGTTCTGGTTGTTTAAAGTATGTAGCACCTCCTCCCTTTCTCAATCCCTCCTGTTCCGGATATGTCAAGTGCTGGCTCCCCACTTAGCCTTCTGCCATGATTTCAAGTTTCCTGAGGCCTCCCCGGAAGCCAAGCAGATGCCAGCATCATACTTCCTATATAGCCTGCAGAACTGTGAGCCAATTACATTTCTTTTCTTATAAATTACCCAGGCTCAGGTATTTCTTTACAGCAATGCGAGAATGAACTAATACACTAATCTTCCTATAAATGGAAGTAATTAGTACATATTCACATTTTTGTCAAAAATCTGTGAAATTTGTTGGGCGTGGTGGCTCACGCCTATAATCCCAGCACTTTCGGAGACTGAGGCGGGCGGATCACCCGAGGTCAGGAGTTCGAGACCAGCCTGGCCAACATGGTGAAACCCCATCTCTACTAAAAATACAAAAAATTAGCTAGGTGTGGTGGCATGCGCCTGTAATCCCAGCTACTCAGGAGGCTGAGGCAGGAGAATTGCTTGAACCCAGGAGGCAGAGGTTGCAGTAAGCCGAGATGGCGCCCCTGCACTCCAGCCTGGGTGACTGAGTGAAACTCCATCTCAGAAAAAATAATAAAAAATAAAAAAATCTGTGAAACTGATGCATGTTTCTAAATGATTCAGTAGTCTTTCAAATAATATAGTATTCTATTGTATGAACATACCACAATTTATTTCTCCTCTCTCCTACTGGTGGACGTTTGAGTCATTTCCAGTTAGGTGCTGTAATGAATAAAGCTATGAATACTCTTGTTTGTGACCTTTAGTGGACAGAAGCACTTGCTTCCACTGGGCTCATACCTGGGAGTAGAACTGCTACATCACAAAATCAGTATGGTCAATCATCACCCTAATACCCACCCCAATGAATCACACCTCCCAGCACCCTCACCCTGGTACAGCCCCCTCCCACATTGACTCTGAGCTTATGAGACTTGTACTGATGGAACAGAACGTGACGGAAGTGATGTTGTGCAACTCTGAATTTTCAAGAGGTCCTGAACTGTGGTTCTTGTCCTTTAGAACCCTGGGAACATCGTGCTACAAAGAAACCTAAGATGAAAGCCCCACAGAGAGAGACTCAGCACCCAAGCTGAGCTCCCTACTGGAGAATGGTACCATTTTAGACCATCTACCCAGTCAAGTATCTGCTGACCACAGCTGCATGAGTAAACCTAGACAAGACCCACAAATGGGTCACTCAACCCACAGAATTGTAAAAATAACACGTTGTTGGTTGAGGTTTTGGAGTGGTTAGGCAGCAATAGAGAGCTGATATAATAGGCTTAACTTTATTGTGATATTAAGCAGTTTTCCAAAGAGGCTTTACCCTTTTATAACCCACCAGCAGTGAATCTATGAGAGTTCAAGTTGCTCCACATCACACCAACACCACATCCTGTACTTTCAGCCATTCTGGTGGGTGTGTACTGGTTTCTCACTAAGGTTTTATTTATTATTATTACTTTTTTGAGACAGGGTTTTCACTCTGCTGCTTAGGCTGGAGTGCAGTGGCGTGATCGCTGCAGCTTTGATCTCCTGGGCTCCAGTAATCCTCCTGCCTCAGCCCCCTGAGTAGCTGGCACTAGAGGCACACACCACCATCATTATGGTTTTAATTTCATTTCCCTGAGGGCCTTTATTTGCTTCTTAACTGAGGCAGAATACGGTCTAAAGACAGGGAGCCTTCACTTCAGCCTCTGATTGGTCACAGTCTTCATTTGCATAGGGTGTAACTTCACTTCAGCCTCTGATCTGCCACAGACCAATCCTTCATTTGCATAGGGTGTAACCAACACGAAACCCCTAAGGGTACTTAAACCCCAACTGGGGCTCATCAGCTGCTTGCTCAAGCCCCTCTCACTCTGTGGAGTATACTTTCACTTCAATACACCTATGCTTTCATGTTCCATTGCTTTGTTTTGTTCAATCTTTGTTCACCATGCCAAGAACCTGGACAACTTGTAGTGAAGACCTTCCACACCAGTAACATATTTTGGTGAGCCAGTCGGGAGGTAAGCCCAAATTTTGGGATTTATTTTTCATTTCTTTTTCCCTTTTCCCTCTCTAGAGAGCCTTCATTTGCAGGCATGAGCTGGAGCTATCTCCATGTGGGGATCCCTCTGCTCTACATAGGGGAACTCCCCCCCCTTTCCCTTTTCCAACTCGGGACCCTTGGTGGACAGCATCTAAGCACAGAGGCAACTGCAGGTCTCTGGCTGGGGACACTCTGGTGACAGTGAAAGGTTTCCGTGTGGAAGCCTGACCACCACTGCCCAGTTTGGGTGAGGGACCTGAGTTTTTTTCTTGTTTTCAGTCTTTCAGTGGCCATTTCCTACCTAATTGCTCCTTGGTAACTGAGGGCAACTGGCTGGGGCCACACTCTGGTGTTACCTAAATTTCTTGAGGCTCTCCTTGGAGGAATGAGAGAGTAACTAAGGCAGTAAACTATGATAAAGTAAGGGAGGTTACACAGGACAAGGAGAAAAATCCAGCCATGTTTCATGGGAGGAGGACTCCCAAAGGCAGTGTTGAGCCCTCTTTTATTCCTAGTATTACTACTTTTGGTATGAACTTTCCTTTTTAGTGATTACTCTATCTAGAAGTTTACACATTTTAGTGACTGCTTTAAAGAAACAACCTATATTGTATCATTTTCAAGCCCACAGAAATGTATATGGCATATAATTTTGACATTTTCAATTATTTTTAAGGTTTTAAGCATGTAAAATACTGTTAATATATGTAAGAATATGCATAACTACCAATACGTAGCACTTTTTTTTTTGTTTTGAGATTGGCTGTCACCCAGGCTGGAGTGCAGTGGCACAATCTTGGCTCACTGCAACCTCTGCCTCCCGGGTTCAAGTGATTCTCCTGCCTCAGCCTCCTGAGTAGCTGGGACTACAGGCGTCTGCCACTATGCCTGGCCAGTTTTTTTTTGTATTGTTTTGTTTTTTAGTAGGGGCAGGGTTTCACCATGTTGACCAGGTTGGTCTTGAACTCCTGACCTCAGGTGATCTGCCTGCCTTAGCCTCCCAAAGTGCTGGGATTACAGGCGTGGGCCACCACGCCCGGCCTAGATAGCTTCTTTTGAAGAGATATTCTCTAAATTTTCATCCAGAGTAGATTCACTGCAGTTTCTTAGGTGTGTTTCTTAATACATTGCCTGAATGTTTTAAAGCATATAGAAATGTGAATACTGTTTAACCTCATGTATTCCTTTGTCTATAGATTAATATTTCTAAGGATTAAAGACATCACAGCCCCCTGTAAGATTCAGTAATATTGGCCAGACATGGTGGCTCACGCCTGTAATCCCAGCACTTTGGGAGGCCGAGGAGGGCGGATCACAAGGTCAGGAGATCAAGATCATCCTGGCGAACACTGTGAAACCCCATCACTACTAAAAATACAAAAAAATTAGCCGGGCGTGGTGATGGGTGCCTGTAGTCCCAGCTACTCAGGAGGCTGAGGCAGGAGAATGGCATGAACCCCGGTGAGGGGGAGCTTGCAGTGAGCAGAGATCCTGCCACTGCACTCCACCCTGGGCGACAGAGCGAGACTCCGTCTCAAAAAAAAAAAAAGATTCAGTAATATTAATAAAATTTGAGATATATAGGGTTAGAACCCAACACATGCAGAGAAAAACTGTTTATACTGCCGTAGAGCAGGAAACGAAACCCAGGTTCTAAGGGGGCAGGGAAACTGTTTGCTAGGTGTGCCATGAGCTACCACACAAGTGCATCAGTGACTGGGCATAGAGCAGGCACAATTACAGGATGGTTAAGAGAGTGAGCTGTGGAGCCTATGGGAACATGCATTTTTAAACTGTGATGTGCCTCAGTTTATCCAACTTTACAATGGGTATTACTCATTTTTTGTTTTTCTTCTCAGTTGGCTAGATTAGTTCCCCAGTCTGTCTTCTCGCCACTCTGGATGTCCACATGAGAGGACCCAAGGTAATTTCTGACAGCCTCGGGCTCCTTGGGAAAACCAGAGGGTGCCACAGACCCCGTTTTAGGAGAAACCTCTGTTTTCCTCAGGGAACCCCAAGACACATAAGCAGACAGATCCCTCTCAAAATCTAAGGCTCTGCTCTGTTTTGTATCACATTACCTGATCTTTTTGACTTTGGGGGAAATTACATCAGAAATTACTTTAGTAGGGGCTGGGCGCAGTGGCTCATGCCTGTTATCCCAGCACTTTGAGAGGCCGAGGCAGGCAGATCACCTGAGGTCAGGAGTTCAAGACCAGTCTGGCCTGAACATGGAGAAGACCAGTCTCTACTAAAAATACATAATTAGCTAGGCGTGGTAGCACATGCCTGTAATCCAAGCTACTCAGGAGGCTGAGGTAGGAGAATAGCTTGAACCAGGGAGGCAGGGGTTGCGGTGGGCAGAGGTTGCGCCATTGCACTCCAGCCTGGGCAACAAGAGCGAAGCTCCATCTCAAAAAAAAAAAAAATTACTTTAGTAGGAACGGGAGTTAGCAAGCTTGCAACTTTCCTATCCTAGATCTCAATAACCTCACCACATCCTCCTTATCACATAATGTTTATAACTAAACGAGTGCCCAAGTACAGCAATTCCATCCAAACTTATACTATTACTTATTCACTGTTATGGAAATGTATGGCATCTCAACATTCTATTGAAATGTAAAGATTTATATTGTTATACCCTGCATTATAAAATAATGACAGAGCCTCTTCAATTGTTTATCAGAAAAATGTTGCTAAGATTTCTTTTCCCATTATAGAAACAGATGAGTCCTTCTATAACAAAGTGCTTTACACATATTCTATAGTGGTATTTTGCACTTAGCAAGTATTCAGCTTTAAACTGAACGCACCCTTGGTGAGTCACTAACTCCCCCACAGCATTGTTCTAATAAAATAAATGGAGTTTCTTGTTTTTAATGCAGCACGAATGGTTAGAAAGATGAACTTGGAACCTCAGACGAGAATATGAGAAACATAAACAGAGACATATGACAACCTAAAAAATGGAGTACAATACCAATAAGAATAACGATTATCTTACCAATATAAGCTTCAGAATCACCAATGTACATTTCGATGCAATGACCAAGCATTGTAACAGAAAATGTATCATCTCGCCTAAGACCAAGGGCCTGCCATAAAAGATTCAGCATGGTTATTAAAAGAAAACATATTTCCTTCTCTTACCACACTGATTCATTTCAAAATATTCCAGGGCATCCAGGGTGGGGGAAGTGGCCAGACATAGCTACATGACTGGCCATGAACCAAAGATTGTTGAAGTTGGTTATGGGTCATGGAGGTTCATCACACTATTCTATTTTCTTATGCTGGAAATCTACCCCAAAAAAGATTTTTTAAAAAGTTCTATCTCGACTGGGCGCAGTGGCTCATGCCTGTAATCCCAGCACTTTGGGAGGCCTAGACGGGTGGATCACCTGGGCTCAGGAGTTCGAGACCAGCCTGACCAAAACATGGTGAAACCCCGTCTCTAATAAAAAATACAAAAATTAGCCAGGCATGGTAGCAGGTGCCTGTAATCCTAGATACTCTGGAGGCTGAGGCAGGAAAACTGCTGGGAGGTGGAGGTTGCAGTGAGCCGAGATCGTACCACTGCACTCTAGCCTAGGCGACAAAGCAAAATACTATCTCAAAAGAAAAAAAAGAAGTTCTATCTCCATACAGAGTTCTCTGAGCCTTCTGTATTTTTTTCCTTTTTTTTTGAGACAGAGTCTCGCTCTGTCACCAGGCTGGAATGCAGTGGCGCGATCTCAGCTCACTGCAACCTCCGCCTCCCGGGTTCAAGCAAGTCTCCTACCTCAGCCTGGGACCGGGCGCAGGGCTAGTAGCTGGGACTACAGGCATGTGCTACCATGCCCAGCTAATTTTTCTATTTTTAGTAGAGACGGGGTTTCACCATATTGGTCAGGATGGTCTCGATCTCTTGACCTCATGATCTGCCCACCTCGGCCTCCCAATGTGCTGGGATTACAGGCGTGAGCCACCGCGCCCAGCTGAGCCTTCTGTATTAATCAGATCTCAGAAGAAAGGTAAATTATACAATACTCAAATATACATATTTAAAAGATCATACAGGACTAGAAAATGTGCTTAGTCCAAACTTCTGACAAACTCAGTGTTCTGGTGACCATCATGGTACCTTCATGACTTCATCTAACCTCAAAATCTCTAATGAACTCTTGAAAATCAGTTACGAAGCGCTCATGAGTTTATCTTTGATAAATTTTCTCATATTTTATCTCTTTCTCCAAATACCATTAGTTCACTGATTCTAAGACCCACATTTTCTCAAATTCAAACATTGCTTCCCTTTTACCTGTGGTTTCCTATTATTGCCATCCACCAGCCACCACTGTGATATGGGTAACCTGCCTGAGAAGCGTGAACTTGGTGGTTATGTTGGCAGCACAGACTAGATCACAAACCATGCGAGGAACACTTAAACAGATGCGGGAATTGTGGTTTTCTAAAAACCTTCTGTTGACACTTTAGCAG
The DNA here is from genome assembly GCF_000001405.40 of Homo sapiens. NCBI lineage: Eukaryota > Metazoa > Chordata > Mammalia > Primates > Hominidae > Homo > Homo sapiens. The sequence continues at coordinate 114,263,765 of NC_000013.11, read as the reverse complement.
ACTGAGAGGGACGAGAGAGAGAGAGAGTTGGAAAGCAGGTGTCTGTGGCTGGGAGGAAACCCAGAGTCAGGAACTGGGCGTGTGTGCTAGCACCAGGGCACTATTTTGAGAAAACACAGATACTGGCCCTCTGGGCTGAATATTGTAACCATTTATTTCACTTATATGTACATTTCTATGTATGTACTAGAGTAATACAAATCTGCCTAAATATGTTCAAGAATATTTTCTCTAAGTACAAAAAAATTAAGTGCCGGGAAAAAATTATGTTAAAGTTTAATTGGCAGCACTTTTTTCTTTGTGGTCATCCTGCTTACTCATGGTGTCTTAAATTTGATGGAATATGGTACATGGATTAATGAAAGGTTCTTTCCTTGTGATGACTGCAGAGACTGTTTTGTTCATCTACTAATGTGATCTAAGGGGACAGTCATGAACAGAAAGACTGCGAGTTCCCAAAGGGGCTACTGTGGACAGATAACCCCGTGCTCAGCACTCAGATCACTGGTGAGTGCCACTGGGCACCTGCGCACCTCACTGCAAACACTAAGGACAGGATTCATGTTTGTTTCTAATTTGATGAATACTGTACAACACCCACATGCTTTTCTCTGCAAAGAAAAGAATAACACGTAAGGTTGCCTAAAGAATATTAAAATAGTAAGTCAATATTACCTAGAAAAAATATTTTCAAAAAAGGAAGTGGTCAATGTTAACCAGATTTAAAATTAGGTACAAAGAAAAGACATACTGTGTGGAAGTAGTCCACAGCATTTTCAAAGTTGCCCATCAGACTGTGGATATATCCAATAGCAGAGTAGGTGGATGCGTTCTGAGGAATCAACACCAGTGCCTGACGGTGGTAATCCAAGGCCTCAGCATACTTTCTGTGGGAGAGAACACAATTATTGGCTACAGTAAAAGCACTAAATTCCTAAGTCTAAGATGAGCAACCATCCATATCAACACCCAAGAAACGCTGTCTCAATGAGAACAGCAGTCTAGACTGGTGAATGTTCTCCACACCTACTCTCATGCATCTCAATATGCCCTCTAAATGCATCTTCCAGGCCCACTCCCTCCGCCGGCCAAGGGCACTCCTGCAGGGATGTCTGCTGTATTCCTTTTGATGTTCAGTGGGACACTGCAACCAGAACCTAATCCATGCCTCCTGGCTGTGCCCTTACCACACACCACCCTCTTAGGTGACAGTCAGTGTCCCATATCAGGGGTAGATAAAAGCAGTCAAGGAGTATCGCTTTAAGGTCCAAAAGATTTACTTAGAAAAGTGCTCCTTAAAGTTCTCTGGAATACTTGACTTGTAAAGTCTTTTGTGAAAAAAATGTTTTATGCTCAATTAAACTTTGGAAAATGCTATAAGTTCGTAATACATAGTAAAGACTCAAAGAAATCCTGCAATAGAAATACTTGTTAAATCTTGAATAACCTAAAATTGCCCAGACATATTTAACCAAAAAACCCATTTTTCAACTGTCGCCTGTTTATCACACCACAAAACCTCTAGCAGAAAACAGACTATGGATAGGATTTTAATTATATCCTACTGTCCTAATTCTTCTGAATTAATTTTGAACACTAAATTTTCATATAAAAAAGTAAAATTCTCAATGTGTTTCTAAAATAAAATTACACCAACACAGATAAATAATAAAAACTGATTTGATGCTGATTTTATCTGAGCAGCCAAGTACAAGAAAGCTGGTTGATCTCATGAAATAAGAATATGACAAAGTATTCAAAATTAAGTAAACTTTGAGACACAAAGTATATTTCTGAAAATGCTCTACTTCACTTACTTAAGTTTTCTGCAGACATGCCCCAAGTTGTTCAACAAAGGTTCCCATTTGTCAACTGTTACCTAAAACATAGCAACATCAAGCCCACGAGTTATATATGTCACTGTTCAGCCTGATTTGTTTGCACTGAATTATTTCACGCCTTGCAAGCTGGGCTCTCTCCCAGTGTGTGCCGCCAGCACACCACAAGGCCAGGGTAACTGCTGTTTTATCTATCTCCCTTTCTTTCCTACTAGGAGACTTCCTGAGGACTCTGTTATCATTAGGACAAGTTTATCCAAGAGCCTATCCCTGCTGGAGTTCAAATGAGTATCTGCAACTCAGAGCTTTCCCTCAAACACCAGACCTCTCTATCCATCTGCCTGCTAAATACTTCTGCTTGTAAATGTTACAAGCACTTTAAGTTTAGTGCACCACACACCACACCCATCTCTCCCTGGCCATCCCAGCCCCTGACCTCACTGCTTCTGAGTGCCCCTCCAGTCAGTGAATGGCACCCCCACCCCCTCTGACCCTTCCATGAGGCACACCAGGGCTGGTTCCTTCTAATTGCTAGGCATAACTCCAACCTATTTAGTCCTCACCTTCCTCATTAACAGAGTCAAATCTGGGCCCCAATCATAAAAGTCTGACCGGGTTGTTTCCTTCTTAAATCCCTTTTGTTTTCCCATTCTCCTCAGGATAAGGCACAAACTCTTTCATTCTGGGCCTTTAGTGATCCACACTTAACCCTCCTGACCCACTCCTTGACATTCTCTGTGAACTCAAAATCCAAGCCATAATGAATTAGCTCCAATTTTTGCAAACACTGGAATACCCTTGCCCTAATTTTTGCCTAGCTGATGTCTGATGACTTTCAGGACTGAGGTGTATGCAAAAGGCTCATTTCTGGGTGAACTGCCTTTCTCTGTGGGCACCTTTAGTTCCTCAATTGCACCGTATTTTCACTGTCAATTTACGTACTTACATTCGCCAGTTGATCTGAGGTCAGGAAATAGTAAACTCATTCCCCTTTGCATCCCAAGGCCTAGCTCAGAGCCTATGGCATGGCTGACACTCATTAAATATATGTCAACTAAATGAATGAACAGACCTGAGCCACAGATTCTCTAACTCTATTGAGACCAGTTCTAGGAGGCACAGCCCATGTGAATGAAAAACAAATCATTTAATGACTCTTAGGCATGACTGTTTCTCTTTGACATTTGCTGCAGTTTCTAATAAAGTCAATATTTTCCCCCTCTTCGTATAACTTTTTAATGAGCATTTTGACATTTCAATAGTGTTGTGCTTTCATACTTAAAACCATTAAGTTTCTGTAAGACTCTAAATTTAGTGCCCCTTAATCATCAAAGAATACAGGCTCAACTTAAGTATGGTTTAGGAAAGTGCTTCTCAAAACTTTTCTGTGCGTGATAATCCCCTGGGCATCACGCTAAAACTGCAGATTTTGATTCAGTTGGTCTGAGATTCTGCACTTCTAGCAGGCTTCTAGGTGATGCTGATGCTGCTGAGCCCGTCTGGGGCATAAGGCAGTCACTTCTTAGAAAACTGACAAGGTGGCAAGTGGCAATCCCCTATTAACAAAACACTTGGATTATCCAGAACTACCCAAGACTATGCGACAGAGGCACCTGCTTTATATACACGCATGTGCAAACACAGAAATAGTGTTTATAAGTTCAGATGACATGAGAGACCAAAGTAAACAAAGCTGTGTCTATGGGGACAGGCAGATCGCTTGGCAGGGAGGCAAAGCTGTGTCTGTAACAGCAGAGAGAGCTAACAGCCAAGGGAGAAGAAAACTGTGGGCAGGTGTGCACAAACAGTAACAGCAGGAAGCTGAGAAGTGAAAATCAGAATAGAATGAAACAAAACAGGCACGAATGAAACAGAAGAGCATCATGCAAATCTCTTACTATGCAAGTTTATGGTATCTAAAACTGTTACTACTTTTAAGTAATATCAGTATATACACATCCTTGATAATTGTTAGGTTAACTCATAAGCACCAATTCACGGGATCGTTCATACAACAGAAGCAGTCAAATATTTTAAAATGGAAAGGCCCAAATACACACTCAGTATGCAGTAACAGCAACAAAAGGTGTGAATTTCAGTAATACCTATCCCATCCCTATCCTTTCAGAAGTGGGACCTGCTGCTATACTTTATTTACCCTTCAGTCAAAGAAGCTCTCTGAAGTTCTAGAGGAATATTACATCTGACGCTACAGTGCCCAATTGTTTCCGTGACCCAATGACTATTCCTAGCTTCAAATAATCACCCAATCTATTCTGATGCCTCTCACGTTTCAAAGCTAGAGCCCATTTAAGAAGCAAACGCCAACACTTGCCCTCTTAGGGAAAAAACTCATTTCTTACCATGTGGTAAAACAGTTAACTGACAATGCAAACATTAACAGCCGCTTGTTATGAAAATATCAGGTTACTATCTTCGAAGGCAAGAGATTTCTGTGTTGTTTTCCTCATTTAACAGTAAACACTCAGGGGTGTATATGTGTATATTTACAGGTACTACAAAGAATACCTCGTTCCCAATTGCTTTAATTTTTTCCAAAGCATCAAGAAACCATTTTTCGGCTGTTTTCCATCTAAAATGAAAGGAAAAAAGGTTGCAGATTATTCGAAATTAGCAAATATAAACTTTAAAAAAATTTTTGATTACCTTTCTAGTAGTACTAAAATGCAATGGGGTAAACTGCTGGAAATAATTATAAAAATTCAAAGTTAAGTCACAAATGATTAATTTTACGGCATTAATATCAAGAGTTCAAGATTTCAAGATTTTGGGAGATACAGTATTTATATTCCTTTTTTTTTTTTTTTTTTTTAAGAGTCTCACTCTGTTACCTAGGCTGGAGTGCAGTGGTGCGATCTCAGCTCACTGCAGCCTCTGCCTCCCGGGTTTAAGTGATTCTTGTGCCTCAGCCTCCTGACACAGCTGGGATTACAGGTGTACAACACCATCCCTGGCTAATTTCTGTATTTTTAGTAGAGATGGGGTTTCGCCATGTTGCACATGCTGGTCTCAAACTCCTGGCCTCAAGCAATATGCCCATCTCGGCCTCCCAAAGTGCTGGGATTACAGACGGGAGCCACCGCACCCAACCACAGTATTTATGTTCTATAAAGTCACTGTGTACACTGAGTTAGCAAATATTGAACCGCGGCTGCCAGGGGAAATACAGTTAGATTCCTGCAATTCTCTGGTCACATTTTCTCTAATTGATCAATGCGTAACCTTGTTTTATGTGTGTTTCTATTTAAAGACGTCTTATTTGATACATATTGTTGATTCATCAATATTGAAGTCAGGGCCAGCAGCACTATAAATACTGATGCCTGCTTGAATGAAGCTTCTCTAATACATGTGTTTCCTCTGTAACACAAAAGTGTATCACAATTAACACTAGATAGCATTTCACTAAGCTTGGGGATTATTTCAAAACAGTGAAATCATCAACAAAAAGCACAAAAATGTGAAAACTGTGGCACTAAATAGACCACAAGAAGTACACTGGTTTATAGTTGAACTGGGAAAAAAGGCAGAGCGTTGCCTTCTTAGACTCCAGCTGGAAGTGTGTGTGCCAGGAGACCCAGCTTTCTCCCAGCCCTGGGCATGTCTGCCAATGGCTCAGAAAGCACCTCAGGAACTGATTTGGCGGTTACAAATAAATTTTAATGAGTAGGCAAATTCGCAAATACTGATGATTACTGTATTATATTAAAAGATTACTATTTATTTTAAAGCTTCAAACTTTTAAAAAATACCTAGATAACCCATTTTTTAGAACACATACATGCCATAAATGACACTGTAGTAGTATTAATACTAATTTACAGCCGAGCGTGGAGGCTCACACCTGTAATCCCAGCACTTTGGGAGGCTGAGGCAGGCGGATCACCAGGTCAGGAGTTCGAGACCAGCCTGACCAACATGGTGAAACCCTGTCTCTACTAAAAATACAAAAATTAGCCGGGCGTGGTGGTGGGCATCTGTAATCCCAGCTACTCAGGAGGCTGAGGCAGGAGAATCGCTTGAACCTGGGAGGCAGAGAATGCAGTGAGCTGAAAATGCGCCACTGCACTCTAGCCTGGGCAACACAGCGAGACTCCATCTCAAAAAAACAAAAACAAAAACCAAAAAAAACTGAAACTAATTTACCATTTTAAAATTTGTATATCATGAAATGCAAAGGATTACATACATTTTTCTCTTTGAGTATAACACCAAATCACTTATTCTACAAATATTCTAGAGTACAGTAAAGCCTACACTGACCAGGAATTAAATTTTCTGACTTACTAGTAACTAAATAGAAAACACTTTTGTTTCAAAAACCATGTCAAATTCTTCTCAAATACGTAAATTCAACTCCTTATCAACACAGAGATAACTAAGGATTCCACAGTGCCCCCAGCCACACTGTGGGGTATGTGTAATCTGAACTGTCCAATCATGTAAGAAAAGAAGTGGTAGCTCAGATCAAAAAAAGACCAAAACCTGGGTTTAGAATTTTTAAGGAAATCCAAGATAACAGTTTCTCTCTTTTTTTTCTATCTCCTTCTCCTAAAATAGAACATTTAAAAGTACAAATCTACTGAAGAGTCGCTTTTGTCAGTGAACTCTAGTGATCACCTACTGTATTTACAATCACTAGTTAACAGAAGGGTTTCTGGTCTTCCAGTACTTACTCTCCATTCTGAAATGCAACCACGCCGACCTCATGCATAACAAAAGGGTCTTCCGGTGCAATGCTCAGAGCTTGGCTGAAGAACCTTTCAGCTAGTTTTGAGTTATTGGTCAAACCATATTCTAATCCAATATACAGCATAGGCAAATGACACCTAAAAAATTGGAAAATTTCACATATTCAACACCAAAAACTGTGATTTAGCAGAAATTAATCTGTCAACTTCAAATCCTATCTGCAAAATAATTTAAAGGTAGCCAAAACACAGCATTTACTTTTTTCTCTTAATTTACAAATATTTAATGAATGCCTAATGGGCTTTGGACTAATCAGCTGCCACTTCTAGAATCTATCTGCAACTTATTTACCTTTAATTTTCATTATTATTCCACAGTAAAAAAACAAAAACTCTCTAAAGCAAAAGGGCAGGTCTCTGTGGTGCTGTCTTCCTCCTTGATGCTAATGTCATGCCCCAGCCGACACTGGTCTTCCTCTTATTTACTCACCACCATTTATCCTTCAAGATTGGGTTCAACTTCTACTTCCCTTTATGAAGCTACCTCTGACTTTTCTAACATAAATGCTCTCCCTTCTGTGAATTCCCATTATAATCAGTTCTATGCAGAAGAGTTATGAATAATGCCCTGTGTATTGATTCAATTTTCCCACCTTCTGAGACAGTTCTAGGCAGAGTCAGAACTACTTTTTAATTGAATTTTCATCTGTTCACACGATTGGGATCAGTGATTGCATTAAAGCAAGTGTAATAAGACAATCTTTCCTTGATGATGATCTCAGAACATCAATAAATACTGATTGCTTGGTGTGTGCTTTGGTTCTAATCTAGAGTCATAACTCAAATTAAGATTATATCCTCTACAGAAGGTCATGACAAATTCTTTAAAAATATTTACACCTGGTAGAAGTACTTTCAAAATGGCAGCATAAGGACTCCAAAAATCTATTCATCCATAGAAGCAACAACAACACTGGCAAAAATTATCAAAACCAATTTTTTCAGAACTTTGGAAGGTAACCAAGCTCTTAAAACAATCTGAGGAGTGTATATTCAAGAAAAGATGGCTAAATCTCAGTAAGAACAACTTTGTGCTGCTTTAACTTGTCTTATTCCCATCTCCCTTTCCCTAGCTTTGCATTAACCTTAAAAACAAGCAGTCTCATAACAACAGCCGTTGTAAAGCCATTAGCCTAGCAGCCATTGGAGAAAGCAGAATTAATTTAGAGTTCCTCAAACACCCCACAGGGAACTGCTGCTATTTGACCTGTCTGGTAGCTCCTAAAAGAGCCCCCTGGGCTCATACCTGTAATCCCAGTACTCTGGGAGGCTAAGGTGAAAGGAATGCTTGAGCCCAGGAGTTTATGACACACAGTGAGACCCCATCTCTAAAAAGTAATAAAAAATTAGCCAAGCGTGGTGGTATGGGCTTGTAGTCCCAGACACTTGAGAGGCTGAGGCGGAAGGATCCCTTGAGCCCAGGAGTTTGAGAATGCAGTGAGCTGTGATGGTGCCACTGCACTCCAGCCTGGGCAAGAGAGTGAGACTCTATGTACAGGTTGAGTATTCTTCATCAGAAATGCTTGAGACCAGAAGTGTCTGGGATTTCAGGTTTTTTTTTTTTAATTTTGGAATTTATGCATCCCTATTCTGAAAATCCAAAATACTCCAGTGAGCAATTCTTTTTGAGTGTCATGACAGTGCTCAAAAAGTTTGGGCTTCTGGAACATTTTGAACTTTGGATTTTCAGATTAGGGATACTCAATGTGCAATTATATTGTTGGGCCTATCATATACAGAAATGTAAGGTTTACCAGTAACAGTGTAATAGGAAGCGGGTGACAGCAAAGCTGTATTACAGTAGGAAAGTAACACTGGATGTTAACTTGAACCCACAGGAACAAAGAGAACTGAAAATGGTAAATAACAGGGTTAATATAACAAATGATATAAGTATATACACCTTCTTTCCTCACAGCTTCTTTGAAAAACAAAATTACATAAATAATAACAATGTATAATTGAGAAAATCTGTCATTAGTACATCTGCCCAGTAAGAAATACTAAAGGGAGTCCTTTATGCTAAAACAGAAGGATACTACATAGGAATTCAAATCCACATTGTTGCAGAAGAGTCAAACTCTAAGAACTCGAAGTGCAGGCTTCCAGGTAACAGGTAGATTTAAGATTTTTCTGATTGGTTGAAAGAGTTATTATCAATAGTAAGCAATGTCTGGGTTATGATAAGAGGTTGCAGAGACCAAATTTTATCATGCAGATGAAGCCTCCAGGTAGCAGGCTTCAGAGAGGATAGATGGTAAGTGTTTCTTCTTATCAGACTGAAGGTCCATTTGATGTTAATGCTGGAGGGCGTAAAGAGGAGTGTTGGACCCCCACTTCCCATCATGGCCTGAACCAGTCTTTCAGGTTAAATTTAGACGGCCCTGGCCTAGAGGAGGAAGCCCATTTAGATGGTTGGGGAGGGTCTTCAAATTTTATTTTTGGTTTACAACACGAAGAAATGAGAGTCTGATAAAAATAGCTACATTGGTAATTATGAGACAGTATAAAATGTGCTTGTTTTTAACTCTTCTATCTGATTTAAAAGACAACAGAATAAATAATAATAACAGATCTGTGCTGATGGACTTATAATGTGTAAGATGTATTCTATATGACACTAACAGCACAAGGAGGCAAGAGGAAACAGCTATATCGGAGTAAGGTTTGGGCGTACTATTAAAATTAAATTGGTATTAATTCAAAGTAGGTCGTTTTAAATTAAGGTGCTAATTATAATCCTAAAGATAACCAACCTAAGAAAATAACTCAAAAGATATAGTATAATAAAAAAAGGGGATTAAAATGGGACATTATAAAATATTTACTCAACACAAAAGAAGAAATACAGGAACAAAAGATGTGATGTATAGACAATAAAGAACAAAACGCCAGACATAAATCCTATCTTGTTAGTAATTAAACATAAATGGATCTAACTGTATGTTGTCAACAAGAGACATGCTTTAGATTCAAAACACAAGTTGAAATTAAAAGAATGAAAAAAACCACACCATATAAACAGTAACAAAAGAGAGCTGGTGTGCCTACAGTAACATCAGATGAAACAGACTTTATAAAAAAAAGTATTATTAGAGATAATTAGTGATATTTTATAATGATAAAAGGCTCAATCCATCAAGAAAATACAACAATTATAAACATGTACACACCTAACAACAGAGACTCAGAATATATGAAGTGAAATGTGCCGGAATTGGAGGGAGAAATACACAATTCAACAATAAAATCTGGAGACTTTAATACCTCACTTGCAATAATGCAGAGAATAAATAAGTAGAAGATCAATGAGGAAAGAGAAGACTTCAACAACACTATAAAATCAGATGTAACAGGTATCTATGGAACACTTCACCCAACAAGAGCAGAATTCTCAAATAATCTGGAACAATCTATAGAATGGCTCATAAAAAAGCCTCAATAATTTTTTTCTTTTTTTTTTTTTTGAGATGGAGTCTCACTCTGTCGCCCAGGCTGGAGTGCAGTGGTGCGATCTCAGCTCATTGGAACCTCTGCCTCTGGGTTCAAGAGCTTCTCCTGCCTCAGCCTCCCGAGTAGCTGGGACTACAGGCGTGAGCCACCACACCCGGCTAATTTTTGTATTTTTAGTAGAGATGGGGTTTCACCATATTGGCCAGGCTGGTCTTGAACTCCTGACCTCAAGTGATCCACACCCCTCTGGCCTCCCAAAGTGCTGGGATTACAGGTGTGAGCCACTGCGCCCGGCCAGCCTCAATAAATTTAAAAGGACTAAAATCACACGAAGTATGTTCTCTAACTACAATGGAATTAAGTTAAAAAACAACAAAAGAAGAAAATTTGGGAAATTCTTAAATATGTGGAAGTTAAATGTCAACATATTCTTAAATAACCAATGACTCAAAAAAGAAATCATAAAGGACACGTAAAAATATTCATCCAATTTCAAACATTTATCCAAACACAGACAAGTTAAGAAAATGCAGAGCTGCTCTGACAGATAAGTAAACTTGAAAGAAAAATAATGCTTATCTTGATGAGCTATCATGAGGTTTTTGAGATGTATCTCAACTGGTCACCCAGGCTGGATTGTGGTGGCACAGTGACCATCCTGCCTCAGTTTCCCGCATAGCTGGGATTACAGGCAGGCACCATCAAACCCAGCTAATTTTAAATTTTTTTTTTGTAAAGATAAGGTCTCACTATGTTGCCAGGGCTAGTATCAAACTCCTGGCCTCAAGCAATCCTCCCACCTCAGCCTCCCAAAGTGCTGGGATTACAGGTGTGAGCTACCACACCTAGCTTAATGTGAGAATTTAATGACAAAGTTTGTTAGATTTGGAAACACTGAAGGTATTGTGTCATTAATTATCATTGATTCTGATTCCCAGCTAGGAACTAACTAATAACTATTCTGTTTCTGAGAACCCAAAATATCAAATAAAAATTACCAGACTGTAGCATATGCTCATAAAAACCAACTCATAGTGAATTATTGAGATTTTTTTTTTGGTAACAAATTATCATATTGATACATAGGGGAAATATGCAGATACTGGAGCTGAGCTTCAGAAGAGAACTGGAAAAGGTCTCACTCATCTTGGTGAACAGGATGGAGAGACCTGGACTGAGTATGAGGACCATTTAGGTGGATCCATAACTGGGTGTGCAACTCTACTCTGGAAGGTTATTTTCTAGTAATATATTAGTGCTATGGACTGTTTGTGTCCCCTCTGCCCCCCAAATTCATACATTAAATCCCTAACCCCTACTGTGCCTGTACTTGAAGATAGGGCCTATGAAAAGATAATAAAGGTTACATGAAGTCCTAAGAGTATGGCTTTTACCCAACAGGGCTAGTGTAAAGCTCTTATCCAACAGGGCTAGTGTAAGGCTCCTTTCCAACAGGGCTAGTGTAAGGCTCTTATCCAACAGGGCTAGTGTAGGGCTCTTATCCAACAGGGCTAGTGTAGGGCTCTTATCCAACAGGGCTAGTGTAGGGCTCTTATCCAACAGGGCTAGTGTAGGGCTCTTATCCAACAGGGCTAGTGTAGGGCTCTTATCCAACAGGGCTAGTGTAAGGCTCTTATCCAATAGGGTTAGTGTAGGGCTCTTATCCAACAGGGCTAGTGTAAGGCTCTTATCCAACAGGGTTAGTGTAGGGCTCTTATCCAACAGGGCTAGTGTAGGGCTCTTATCCAACAGGGCTAGTGTAGGGCTCTTATCCAACAGGGCTAGTGTAAGGCTTTTATCCAATAGGGTTCGTGTAAGGTTCTCATCCAATAGGGCTAGTGTTTTTACAAGAGGAAGAGACACCAGAGCTCTCTCTGCCATGTGAGGACACAGCAGGAAGGCAGTTATCTACAAACCAGGAAGAGACTCCTCAATAGGAACTGCACTGGCCAGCACCCTGATCTTGGACTTCTCAACCTCCACAACTATGAAAAAATAAATGTCCTTTAAGTCACCCAGTCTGTGGTATTTTGTTATGGCAGCCCTACTGACTAATACAGCTAAGGAGCTATGATACTTACCAAGTTACTATGACTACTGACTGAGGTGGGTACTAATTTAAACGCAGAACTGAGTGACAAAAAGAGCCTAACAGTTTGCAAAGAGACCAAACCTAACAGGATGACATTCAATACAGATAAATATATGATTCCACCCCTGCATACAAGTAAATAAACACAAGTAGCTAACTTTCACTGAGTGCTTTCTATGTGTAAGACACTCTTCAAAGTCTTTAATTGGTATTATCTCAATTACTTCTCACAATAAGCCAGTGAGTAAATTTTGCTATTATTCCTATTTCTCAGGAGGCTAAAAAACTTGCCCAACGTCACATGGCTGGGAGTGGAAGAGCCAGGAAGAGTCCAGGAGGTATGACTCCAGACCAGGCCTCTGGACCACTGCACTCCCACTACCTCTCCAGGCAGGGATGCAGTCATCAGTCAATAGAAGCAGTCCACACAAACCAACCCTGTAAGTTGTAACCGATGGTGAGACCAAACAGTCAATGTGAACAGCAATACTCTACTCCTCAAAGTAACACATTCTTAGTTTCAATACATTTAATATTGATATAAATCTAGAATACTGGCAAATACAGTCCTGCACCTACCACTAAGCCACATCAAATACCTTTTGGTAATAGATAAGATATAATAATTTTGCTCGTGAATATTTTTATTCTTGCATGAGCATGTGAGGAAGGGCTTCCAGAACTCCTCTCCTCCACTGGCCTAATTTCCTGGTTGCTTCTTGCACTGGTTGGAATCAACTGCTAGGCAAATGCATACACCAGCTTCTCTCCCCTCCACTTTCATAGTTATTTTACAATCACAAGCAACTAGATTAAAAGGCAAGTAAAATGTTTGTGTTTAGTTTAGCAACCAAATAGCAGTAATAGTAATAGAAATTTCATTTCTATTAGGAAAAACATCCCTTCATGGAGTTTGATGAGTTTGCTCTGCCGTACCCTTTCATCAGCTGTGCTGCTGTGAAGTAAGCAGCCATCGCTTGGTCGTGCTCACTCTCCACCGCAAATGAATGTCCATAGGCTATCCATGCAGGTCCATAGGTTTTCTCAAGTGTTGTGGCTTTGCTAAAACAAAAGAGTTAATTTAAGTCATATAGTATTTATTCTTTTTTTTTTTTTTTTGAGACAAAGTCTCACTTTGTCGCTCAGGCTGGAGTGCAGTGGTGCGATCTCGGCTCTCTGCAGCCTCCGCCTCCAGATACCAAGCAATTCTCCTACCTCAACCTCCCGAGTAGCTGGGATTACAGGCACCCGCCACCATGCCCGGCTAATTTTGTATTCACAGTAGAGATGGGGTTTCACCATGTCGGTCAGGCTGGTCTTGAACTCCTGACCTCAGGTGCTCCACCCACCTTGGCCTCCCAAAGTGCTGGGATTACAGGCGTGAGCCACTGCGCCCAGCCTATTTATTATTTTTTATTTTTAGAGACAGAGTTTTGCTCTGTCGCTGGAGGCTGGAATGCAGTGGTATGATCATAGCTCACTGCAGCCTCAAAATCCTGGGCTCAAGTAATCCTTCTGCCTCAGGCTCTTGAGTCACTGAGATTACAGGCACGAGCCACTGTGCCCAGCTAGTATTTATTCTTGAATTGTTAATTTTATATAAGGAGATGGCCTCAAAAACATTAACATCCATTTAGTAAACAAGCTGTCACCACATTAAACACTAATGTAACATTTGTGTTGATTCATTTGAACTAAAACTGTTTAATAGTATAGCAAAATTTTAAGAAATTTGAGGAGATCCACAGCTTTTTATGCACTGTAGCAAAACCCATTAGCATTCTAAATAGAACTTACAGATATTACTTAATCCAGGAGCTCCATTTTGTAACCTAGTAGATACATCCTCTCATCCTAATAACTTGCAAGATAAATTCATTTATATTTTAAAGACAGGTATACCAAGGCTTGAGGGATTAGGCGATATCCTATAGATGATGGTCAACAGATATACCCTGGTTACAGGGACTGGACTCATATATATCAGTGAATAATTGTATACAGTGAACACTGTATAATTAACCCACAAGGAATAAAGAGAACATATCACAAAACGTGGAAGACATAGGGGGTGATACCCTACTTCCTTGTATTTTAAGTTTTCTTTTATCCAAATGTTACCTGTTTCATGTAGAGCAGGGGTCCCAACCCCTGGGCCACAGACTGGTATCAGTCCCTGGCCTATTAGGAACCAGGCGGCACAGCAGGAGGTGAGTGGCAGGCAGGTGAGTAAAGCTTCATATGTCAAGAAAGAACTTGCCATTTGAAAAAAAAAAAAGCTTAATCTGTATTTACAGCCACTCCCCTTCACTTGCATTTCCGCCTGAGCTCTGCCTCCTGTCAGATCAGAGGCATTAGGTTCTCGTAAGTGCGCAAACCCTATTGTTAACTGCACATGTGAGGGATCTAGGTGGCGCACTCCTTACGAGAATCTAATGCCTGATGACCTGTCGCTGTCTCCCATCTCTCCCAGATGGGACCATCTAGTTGCAGGAAAACAAGCTCAGGGCTCCCACTGATTCTTCATTATAGTGAGTTGTATAATTATTTCATTATATGCTACAATGTAATAATAATAGAAAAAAGCACACGATAAATGTAATGCGCTTGAATCATCAAGAAACCAGTCCCCCCACCCTGGGAGGGGGGGCTTCTACAAAATGGTCCCTGGTGCCAAAAATGTTGGGGACCACTGATAAGAGTCCATCACTGAATTGCACGCTAGATCAAAGCAGCATAGCTCAAAATAACTTTTACAATACTAATCATCTTTCTATGTAGAAGTTCTTCTAAAATGCTGAACATACAACCAACCAGGGAACATTCTAGTTTCTTCCTAGTACAGGGTACTTTCGTGGCATCAGTCTTCCTAACAATCCTGCTATATGAGTATGACATCTCCCCCACCCCCACTCCCTTTTATTTTTTTTGAGACAGAGTCTCACTCTGTCGGCGAGGCTGGAGTGCAGTAGTGCAATCTCAGCTCACTACAACCTCCACCTCCTGGACTCAAACAATTCTCCTCCCTCAGCCTCCCAAGTAGCGGGGATTACAGGTGCATGCCACCATGTCCAGCTGATTTTTTTATTTTTAGTAGAGACAGACTTTCACCATGTTGGCCAGGCTGGTCTCGAACTCCTGACCTAAGGTAATCTGCCTGTCTCGGCCTCCCAAAGTGTTGGGATTACAGGCGTGAGCCACCACGCCTGGCTGACATCCCCATTTTTAAAGAAAGAGAGAGCAGGAGAAATTAACTTTCCCAAGGAATTTCAGTTGGTAAGTCACAGAACTTGGATTAGAATTCAAATTTGACTCCAAAGTTTATGCTGTTTCCGTTAGAGACCAATTCTGTTTTATTTGCACGGAAGAAACCACAGAAATTAGAACATTTACAGAGTTTAAGTAATTAATTCTTCACATACTTGACATTTTTCTAAACTTGAATAATACTGGTTAAATAGCTTCACTAGGCTGCATGGCTTTCCTTAAGTTAAAACCACAGCAAATCATTACATGAATCAGTTCACCCTGCTAAGAATTCTGTTTTATAGTCACATTTAGTGACCCCAATTTTACATAAAGTTTTGTGTAATTTCACAACTATTAATAAAAGAAATCCTAAAAGTAAAAGGTTAACAGGATCTCTGTAAGCGAAAGAGAGAAACTTTCAAACTACATTATTCTCTATTGTTTCATATTTATTCTCATTTATTAATTATTATTATTATTTTTTTGAGACAGAGTTTTGCTCTTGTCACCCAGACTGGAGTGCAATGGTGCGATATCAGCTCACTGCAACCTCCACTTTCCAGGTTCAAGCGATTCTCCTGTCTCAGCCTCCCGAGTAGCTGGGATGCAGATGCCCACTACTATATCTGGCTAATTTTTTGTATTTTTAGTAGACAGAGTTTCACCATGTTAGTCAGGCTGGTCTTGAACTCCTGACCTCAGGTGATCCACCTGCATTGACCTCCCAAAGTGCTGGCATAACAGGTGTGAGCCACCATGCCTGGCCATTTATTCTCATTAATAAATAAAATATGTAGGTTCCCTGAGAATAGGGTCTACATCACTGATTTTTTTTTTCTCTCTCTCCCCATGGCATCTTATAAAGAACAAACCACTTGAAGAAAACATTTATTCAGCCAGGCATGGTGGCTCATGCCTGTCATCTCAACACTTTCGGAGGCCGAAGCAAGAGGACTGCTTGAGGCCAGGAGTTCAAGACCAGCCTAGGCAACACAGTGAGATTCGTCTCTACTAAAAAAAAAAAAAAATGTTTAAATCAGCTAGGCATGGTGGTGCCTGTAGTCCCAGCTACTCGGGAGGCTGAGCAAGAGGATCATTTGAGTTTGAGGTGAGCTATTATTGCACCACTGCACTCTAGTCTGGGCAACAGAGTGAGAACCCTCGAGAGAGAGGGGAGGGGAGGTGAGAAGGAAAAGAAAAGGCAAGAAAGAAAGAGAGAAAGAAAAGAAAGGAAGAAAAAAAAAAACATTTATTCTTTCACATTGCTTTTAAAGTACTCACTAATTACTACTTGAAAGCTTATGAGCAAGACATCAATTCTACAGGTTAACTAGAGAGGAAAAAAATAAATTCATACCTGAGATATCTTCTGGCATGTTCATTTTTATGACCGACCATGAGATAGTAACATCCCACTGCAAACCAAGACACCTAAAAAGTTCAAAATTTACCATAAACAAAGATTGGAATTGGAATATCTAATTGGAATCTGCAACAAATTAGGGTAGACAGAGGGTATACTACATGTTCCTTATCACATATTCTAGTTAAGTTAGACATTTCTCTAATACAGTCTACTAAGGTCCAAGAGAAGAGGGCAGACACTCCATGGCTCTTTCTCAAGGAGACGTCTACACAAGACAAGGCCCCTGAGGAGTCCCTGTTTCAAAAACCAGCCTGTGAGTCCTGACTCCCCTGCACTGCTCATCTCCCCCAGCCTGACCCTGGCTCTTCCTTGCTCTCTGTCCGAGTTCTGACTATTTAGCTGGTTTTCTCTTGCTCTGGTTTCACACTGGGATAGGGTGCAAATTCTTGTCGTCTGAGTCTTACACCCTGATTCCTGATTTTGTCCTTAAAGACGCAGTCCCTGATTCCATTTTCCATTCCTAGTTCTCCATTCCGATCCATGACAGTTTGGAATCAGTACACAATTCAACAGGTTGTCTTACATGTGCAATGTGAGAAAGCTGCCAAACAATTATCCACATTTCTTAGGAAAGGGAGGCGTGACTGTCATGGTCAGTATTTTATATTGCTATACGCTAAGTATTTTAAAATAAGCATGTATAACTTCTATAATCAGAAAAAAGGGTTTAAAAACCTTTTTGCTTTGGTATAATTAAAAAATACCTTCATGGGTTGAAAAGTTAATGCTGCTTTTGTAAGTACAATAAACACTAGGAGATTCTGTTGCAACACTTTAATAAAACATCATTTGCTTGAACTTAAGCTATTGTCTAAATACGAGTTAAGCATTTTCTTAAAGTACAGGTAAAAAAAAAAAAACTAAGACTAAAAGTTATATTACTTACAGGATTACTAGGATATAAATCCACCAGTTTATGAGAAAGATAGAAAAGTTCTGTTCAGGAAAAAGCAGAAAAAGAACAATTGTTCGTATCACATGTAATTTAAGACATGATTTCATTACAACTCTTCACAATCATATAATTCTGCTCTTACAGCAATGATTTCATACTTGTCTTTCCTTCTAGATAAAAAATTAACTCTCTAACTGGAGAGTTAGATGAAGGACACACTGTGGGCAAGGTGGGAACAGACACCCCCTAAGACAGCACTTCCCGAATACTGCAGAGGATACAGCAAAGCACCTCACCTCTCTTAGAAGCTCATGCCTGTCACACCAAGGGCCCATTATGGACCATCATAATCACCCACAACCAATTTGGCTGAACAAACTTTCAAGTTTATCAGATCAATGATACTATTTAATCTTGAGAAATGTGTAAATCCTGGCATTTCAAGATGATGTTTCCTGCATGCAGACTTGGATTCAGTAGACCAGAGCAGCTGGAGATGCTGCATTTCCAACCAGCTTCCACAAATGCGATGTTGCTGGTCCACGAACCACACTCTGAGCAGCAGGGATTCGGTGAGGGTTTTCCTTCCTGACAGAGCTCACCATTCAGTTTAGAAAAATTTAAGGACAAATGCATCCCCAAACACAACTAAATGTCAAATGTTAAAAATACGGAAAACATGAGCAAACAATCTGCTCCTTTCCAATTTCT
This sequence comes from Homo sapiens, assembly GCF_000001405.40. Lineage (NCBI taxonomy): Eukaryota > Metazoa > Chordata > Mammalia > Primates > Hominidae > Homo > Homo sapiens. The sequence continues at coordinate 114,245,329 of NC_000013.11, read as the reverse complement.
AAGTAGTTATCAACTCTTACCATATCAGATTTCCAGTGGAATTTACAAAAAAAAAAAAGGGGGGGGGAGGCAGAACTGACACCCAACAATTTAAAGCTAACAAACCTTGAAACATAAATGATATTTGAGAAAAGGTAGTAGGAAGCAGTGATAAAGAACTAATTGTTCTGATGGGAAAACAAAATTGGCCATTTGCTACTTTCCTAAACATTTCCTCCCCAGTTGTTACTTTTATAGTAGGGTTCCATTATGTTGTTACCTGCAATCTCAACTATCCAGAATTTCAGAGACAAAATTTCAAGTTACAGAAAAGATTTGTTTTATGTCTAAGAATTACTTTAATTTAAAAAAAAGTCTTACCATTGGCTTTATTCAGCTCTACAAGCGTCCCTATATGTACAGGTAAACAACTTGCATGGAAAGGATCTTTCTCCATTACTCTGAAAGTTAAAGCGACACATTACTACCCCCAAACCAGCAGGTGACAGCACTCACGACGATCGGCTATGTGTAGACAGTCATTATGGTATCACATATGATGCTGTGGGTTGTAACACTTCACTTTCTTCACTCCATTATCTTCAGGTTGATTCAGTTAAGGCCATAATTAAGTTACAAATGAAAGAAAAAATTCTGGTTTATTTGAAAGGAATAAAAATAAACATTATCACATACATTTACTTTAAGTCAACAGAATTGTAATACATAAAATAAGTAGGCCGCTTATTTAAAAGAATCAAAACCAACAGGAAATCCTATTAGGTTGGTGCAAAAATAACTGCAGTTTTACCACTACGTTCAACAGCAAAAACTGCAATTACTTTTGCACCAAACTAATAAATAGGTTATGTGTATTTGCCAATTAAAATTTTTGTAATTTCAAGGATTTTAAACCGAACCAAGATCTACAAAAAATAGCATATGTCATTTAGCTAAAGTTTAAATTAGGTACACTGGAAAACTGATACATGTGGGAGATGGCTTAGCTACTGCGTGCAGCATATTAAACACCTAGTATCTACAGTGTGAGTCTCATAATTGAGAATAAATTTTACAAAACAATGTGCCAAAATGGAATTTTCAAACTTGCAAATTATCAAGATCAGTAAGAGCAACATGTATATCCCTCCCAAGTTAATGTAATAAATCTACAAATATGCACAAATTCATGTCTGTAAATTGCTCTTTTAAGACAGCACCCTGTTCAGTGCTCTACAATTGGTAAAGATAACTTAAATTATCATCTAGTTCAAGATTATTCAGAGAGCACGTCCGTGAATCACCTAGGTAAGATGGAGTGAACTCCATGTTCCTACAGAAAAATGGATGGATATACTTACACAGAAGTAAGCTTGTAGCACATTTTAAAATCACAGTTATAATAATGTCTCTCAGCTAAAGACACTACCACATCCAGATTCTCTTGCAAGCCATCTACAGATTCAGGGATGACCGTTTCACTAGGCTTATTATACTGAAACACATAGAAATGTAAACATAAACTCAATGAGCAAAAACAAAATAAAATGTGGATTCAATTTGTGTTTGGCCCAAGTGGTTAAAACATTTACAAGAACAAATGTGAGAGCCTCTGAAAACTTATAACTTTAGGTTTTATAAGTACTCCTCTCAGTAAGTTTAATTCCCTTCTCAATTTTAGAACAGAATTCCACAGCGGGACGTATTTCTCAAAGTAAACATTCAGGAAGCATAACAAAAAAATCTTCATTTCCATGCAACACCATTCCATTTACATTTACTTGGTAATTCAATCTTTTAGTATAAGGAGTCTTTCAGAGGAAAAAGGTATTTTTGAAAGCTTTTTTTTTTTGGAATCTTATGTATCTTAAACGCTCTATTCTTAAAAATGTGCTAAATTTAAAAAGTTTTAATTTTGAAAACTTAATATAAGACTAGATGCCAAATTTTATGGAATAAGATATTTACATAAAGCAAGTGCTAACTCTTTGGTTTTACTTACTTTTTTCAATTTGTTCTCAAATAGAAAACGCAGCAATTCCTGTTCTTCATTACACAGCTTGCTAAGGGGTAGTGATTCAAGAAGTTCTTTTTCTTAAAAATGGTGAGAAAAAAAAGAATATCCTCATAATATTTATAGAGGGGAAAAAGCCAACAACTAAAAATATGATTCTACAGTTCTTGGTCTAAGTAAATCAAACTCAAAAGAGAACATAAGATCAAAATGTGCAACAGAAGCTGACACAGTGGCTCCAGGCCTGAAGACGGGAATCATCTGGTGGGTGGAGGCTACTCTTTCAGGGCTGAGGCAGGTCCCCAGGTGGCTCTTGTCACCTAAGAACCACCAGCCTCCGCACTCCTGACTGCGTGGATCTTGCTCTGCTGGGAACAGGGGAGCCTGTGTACTGCAGGTGCTAAGCAGGACCTCTGGCCACTAACCACTAGATACCAGCAGCAACCTCTCAACCTCCCTCCCTGCCCCTAAGCTGTGACAAACAACATCTCCAGACATTGCCAACTGTTCCCGGGGCAGGGGGCGGCAAAATCACTCTGGTTGGTTGAGAACCACTGCACTAGGCTAAAATATGTTAGAATCCCATTAATCCAACCACTCTATTTTCTGTTTCCCTTGTTGACGCACCTCACACCACTGCCAACATACTTGGACTGATTCTCAGTGCCTGTGGTACATTAGGATCACCTGGGAGCTTTAAAGCATCTGCTCTGGAGTTGGGAACTGGACATGGATGTTTCTCTGTCTTCCCAAGGATGTAAAGAGCAACACGGTTGAGAATCACTGCATGAGATACTGAAATCCTGGTTTATACTATCTCAATCACTTCTCAAAAAGATGGCCTCTTCCTATCACAATCCCTAGATTCGGACAGCACAAGGCACCGTACAATACTGCATTCTGCAACGTGCTTTACATTTGAAGACATTAAGAAAGTGAGTAGGTCTATTTAAACCTGTATGTGGCCTGTTGTTGACTTAGAAGATTTCAGAGGCAAAAAATCCAAACAATATTAATTTTGCTAAACATAAAACAAAAAAGCCTGAGTTTCCAAACCTTCTTGTGCTGTCAGCATGTGATGTGATGTTAAAAGATCGAACGCTTCAAAACAGTAGACATCAAGCTTCAAAGCTTCTTTGTAGCTGTAGGTAGCCAGGGTTCGGTTATCTAGAGCATCATAGATTTTCCCGCGTAGAAGACAGATAGAACTCTTTATCTGTTGGAAAAATGATGAGTCACATATTAAGTCAGTACTTTTAAACTTAACTTTTTTTTTTTCTCCTTAGAGGCAGAGTCTCACTCTGTCTCCCAGGCTGGAGTTCAGTGGTGCGATCATAGCTCACTGCAGCCTTGAACTCCTATGATCTCAAATGACCCTCCTGCCTCAGCCTCCTGAGTAGCTAGGATTACAGGTGCACAATACCACAAACAGTTAATTTTTTAAATTTTTTGTACAGACAATCTTGCTATGTTGCCTAGGCTGCTCTCAAACTCCTGGCCTCAAGTGATCCTCCCACTTTGGCCTCCCGAAGTGCTGAGATTACAGGCATGAGCAACCATGCCTGGCCCTTAAACTTAACTTTTGATAGAGAATTGTGTATTTGAATGCTGAGAAGTTTTTATTGCATTTAAAAGGATTTAGTCAATCACAACTGTCAAGGCATAAATAAAAACACACAAAAAATGCACAGCAAAGCTTCTTCAATTCACCTTCCCTGGGCTTCAACTGCTCTGTTCCAACACATCTTTATAACAAAAGTACATGTCACGGCTACTAGGTTCATTACCTGTTTTGTCCAAAACAGTGCAATGATTTAGAGATGGCAGAGTGTGTGTGCATGTGTATAAAACTCCAAGATTGACAGTGTGATAGGCAGACACCCCTCAAAAGGATCTTAATGAGCAGAAACTGGCAGCAATGCAGCAGAGTGGTCACAGCAGTCAGCACAATGGCCTGCTGAGGCAGCACAGACCTGAGTTCAAACCCCAGCTCTGCCAATTACTTGTAACCTCGGACAAGTGATTGAACCTCTCTTGGCCTCCATTTCCTATCCTCATCTGTAAAAAGATAAAAACACTATCTAACTTATAGAACTCTTTACTATCTAACTTATAGAAGTCTGTGAGGGCTAGAGATGCTACCATCTCTGTGGTGCTAGCACATAGTAAGGCGTTCAACAGCCATCTCACGACTACCATAAACACGAAGATGTGGAAATCTGATGCACATTCTAGACTCTGGACCTCGAACACATAACTGAATTTAAAGATGATCCAGCAACAGGCAGCTAGTATCATTAAGGATATGAAGAAGATTCATAAAGTAAAATTTTAGAAAAAATAATGAATTATGAGAGTCTTCGAACTAAGCAATATCCTAGGAGTTGTTTTTTAAAAATGTAATTTCACAAAATAAATAATAATGCGTTGCAAATAAATCACACATTTCATAGCAAATAAGTTAATGGATAAGAGGTCCCAAAATAATGACTGTACCACACACTTTCATAAATGCATTTCTTAACAGAAGAATCTGCTTCCCAACACATACATTAATGAGTGGCCAGAAAAAAAAACAAAAACAAAAACCTAGAATGTGTAATATTCTTTTATGCTTAAAAATAACTATCTAAGGTGAAAAGTCAAGTAATAAACTTCTACCAAAAATATAAATAAATGGGCCAGGTGCAGTGGCTCATGACTGTAATCCCAACACTTTGGGAAACTAAGGCAGGAGGATCACTTGAGCCCAGGAGTTTGAGACCATCCTGGGCAACACAGTGAGACCCTGTCTCTACAAAACATTTTTTAAAAAATTTAGCCAACTGTGCCGGGCACAGTGGCTCACACCTGTAATCCCAGCACTTTGGGAGGCCGAGGTGGGCAAACCACGAGGTCAGGAGATCGAGACCATCCTGGCTAACATGGTGAAACCCCGTCTCTACTAAAATAGCAAAAAATTAGCCGGGCATGGTGGCGGGCGCCTGTAGTCCCAGCTACTCGGGAGGCTGAGGTGGGAGAATCACTTGAGCTTGGGAGGTTGAGGCTGCAGTGAGCTGTGATTGTGCCACTGCACTCCAGCCTGGACAACAAAGCAAAGACCCTGTCTTAATTTAAAAAAAAAAGATGTGGGAAGAAAGAGAAATTGGTAGGTCAGGTAAGGCTTACAGGGATTCTTTCTGAATAATAAAAATATTCTAAAATTGACCATGGTGAGGTTTGCAAAGCTCTGTGAATACACTAAAAGGAATCAAACCATACAGTTTAAATGGGGGAACTGCATGGCATATAAATTATACCTCAATAAGTTTTTATTTTTTTTTTTAAATCCAGATTAGTGATCTGTAAATGTCACTTAATAAGTTACTATATGATGTCTGCCAGCAAGGAATGTGCAATTTCATGGAGATATGAAGTATACAAACTGAAATATACACAATTACATAGCAATGTACTTTGAAGCAAACAGAACACAAAACCATTTCCTGGAAAGAAACAATGTACGCTAATCAAAGTTTCTTGGTGTAGGTCCAAAACACTGCTGAAACACAGAAAGGAGAAGAAAAATTATTCCACTTTTAGGGAGTAGCTTAAGGCATCAAATATGAGAAGGAAGTTTCAAGCCAGCCTATTTTGGATGCAGGCATCTGCGGATACAATTACAGCTTGCAACTAAGGGCTCAGAAATGTCTCAGAATCTTTTTTGGTTTTGGTGGGCAAATTAAATAAATTGGCAACCACAATTGTTTTAATATAGTAATAAGTAAAAGAAGATAATGTGTTTCTGCCACGTAATGAGGGCAATTCTCGCCGCCGTTACTGAGCTGTGCTCACAGTACTACTTACTGAAGACTGTGACATTTCCCAGTCGCTGGAAGGATCTTTGAAGCCACTTTCGTCCTTCAAGTATTTTTCAAATAATCTTTTATTGATGGGCTCTTCCATGTCAAGAACATCAAGGGCCTGCTGGTGCTCTTTTGCAGCATACTACGTGGAAAACAGAAGTGCCGCTCATCACTCACGACTTCTAACACGAAACACATGATCCGAATTTTTAAAGGATAACATATACTATGCCCATTATTTAAATGTGAAATGTCTAAAGTAGAATTTTCTTCATGCATGTCAGCATGTGGTAAACGAAGAATCAGTATTTTATAGCAAACATGACTAAGGAAAGGAACACTTCCTCATGAAATACTTTACTAACCTGCTAAGCTCCATCACTAAAATTCTCACACATATTTAAGAGATGCATAACACTCATTTTATTCAACCAAATAAAAATGAAATTATGAGCATACTTACATGGCACCTAGCTGCAAGGTAACGACATGCTTCATACAACTAGGAAAGAAATTAATTTGTTTAAGTAGTGGTCAAAATAATATGTATCTTCACTTTCAAAGAAAGCCATAAGCATAAAATAGAACTAATTTCATAATTTCTCCTTTTACTCTTGCAGTTAAAAAAAAAATCCAGTCCTGTTAAACCATATTTATTATGAACCTACTGTTTACTAGGCACCAAGGATTCAAAAGCAGTAAGGCCCTGCCCCAGGAGGTTACAGTAGGGGAGATGTGAACTAAGCACAACAGGTAAGCATGACGAAACGGGGCAACAGAAAGCATCAACCAGGTGGAGAAGTAAACATCTGCAGGAGAGCGAGTAAGTGAGGCAGCGAGTAAGTGGTCAGGCAGAGGAGTGGAGCACTGGGTAGCTCTTCAAGCACTGAGTGTGAATAACTGCTGGGGGTCCAAGGAGATCGCAGCAGCTCCACTTCAGGCACTGAGTGTGAATAACTGCTGGGCGTCCGAGGAGATCGCAGCAGCTCCACTTCAGGCCCTGAGTGTGAATAACTGCTGGGCGTCCGAGGAGCTCGCAGCAGCTCCACTTCAGGCCCTGAGTGTGAATAACTGCTGGGCGTCCGAGGAGCTCGCAGCAGCTCCACTTCAGGCACTGAGTGTGAATAACTGCTGGGCATCCGAGGAGATCGCAGCAGCTCCACTTCAGGCCCTGAGTGTGAATAACTGCTGGGCGTCCGAGGAGCTCACAGCAGCTCCACTTCAGGCACTGAGTGTGAATAACTGCTGGGCGTCCGAGGAGATCGCAGCAGCTCCACTTCAGGCCCTCAGTGTGAATAACTGCTGGGCGTCCGAGGAGCTCACAGCAGCTCCACTTCAGGCACTGAGTGTGAATAACTGCTGGGCGTCCAAGGAGATCGCAGCAGCTCCACTTCAGGCCCTGAGTGTGAATAACTGCTGGGTGTCCAAGGAGCTCACAGCAGCACCACGTGACTGGAGCACGTGCTCCAGGTATTGATGGTGGTGGATTAGACGCAGAGTGGAGAGAAAACAAGGAGGGCCTCACAGACCTACTGATGCATCTGACTTTATCCTGCAGCTAATGGGAAGTCACTGAATGACTTTGTGGGAATATAACCACATCCGTGTTTTAAAGACTACTCACTCCTGTAATAGTTCACAAGATGAACTTGTGACAGGGAAGATAAGAAGAGAGAAACTGTTACTGGGGAAAAGAGACAAGAAGAGAGGCTGTAACAGAACAGACAAAAAAATCAAAGGCCTGACACGTACGAGTGGGGAGGAAGAGGAATATCCATGATTCCAGAGCTGTTTAGAAAACAGTCTTCAGAATTTAGAGACTAGATGGGAGATGGGGGAAAAAGAAGGTGACAGATTAGGTATAAGACATTTTCCCTTCACTTTCACTAAAAAAAAACTGGGCCTACTGTGATGACTCACATCTATAATCCCAGCACTTTGGGAGACCAAGGCGGGAGGACTGCTTGAGACCAGGAGTTCAAGACTAGCCTGGGCAACATAGTGAGGCTCTGTCTCTACCAAAAAAATTTAAAAATTAGCTGGGTGTGGTGGCATGCACCTGTAGTCCCAGCTATTAGGGAGGCTGAGGCAGAAGGATCACTTGAACTCAGGAGTCTGAGGTTATAGTGAGCCACGATCATCCCACTGCACTCCTGGGTGACACAGAGAGACCTCAAAAAAACAAAAACAAAGAAAAATTGCATCAAGTTAAATAATTTCAACAGAAATGGAATATACACCTAAAACCCTAATGACTTTTTTTTTTTTTGAGACAGAGTCTTGCTCTGTTGTCCAGGCTGGAGTGCAATGCACGAACTCAGCTCACTGCAACCTCCACCTCCCAGGTTCAAGTAATTCTCTGCCTCAGCCTCCCGAGTAGCTGGGATTACAGGCGCCTGCCACCACGTCCGGCTAATTTTTGTATTTTTAGCGGAGATGGGGTTTCACCATCTTGGTCTTGAGCTCCTGACCTCATGATCCACCTGCCTTGGCTTTCCAAAGCGCTGGGATTACAGGTGTAAGCCACCGCGCCCGGCCACTAATGACATTTTTTTTAAAGCTCTGAAGAGCTTTAAAGTTCATACCATCACTTACTTTGTCCAGTTTTCGTGACCGAAGTGCATGGGCGGCTCTGTGATATTGTGCTGTCAGGTAAAGACACTGAGCCAACCAATAGATGTCCTGGGGTTCTTCTGGAGGGAAAAATTCACATAAGTGGTCAGAGGTACAAGGTGAAATAGAAAACGAATTTTAAGATTAATCAGAAAACCAGTTAGCATTTTGTCACTTACCACGAGAGAGTGAAGCTACTTTATCTGCCCAAAATAGAGCACTTTGATACTGTTGCTGCATACCAAAAAAAAAAAAAGGTGGTAACTGCCCTGTTATTTTAATAGTCTTAAACAGTTATCTAATATTATTATAATTCTATGTAATATATTAATATAATTCTATGTAATAAATCTTCATCTCAAGACAACAATTTGTTACATCTCTATCTTACATCTCACGTAGGGTAAATTTTAGTTCAGTGTCGCAATACAAACATTCCTGTAATATCTTTGTATATGCAACTTATGAAGGTAATTTTTTAAAACTCATACACTGTAAAAATGTATCGTGAAACATACAAGTGAAATGCAAGTGAAACAGCAAAAGCTAGTCATTAACAATTCATGTGTGATTTATATAACACTTTCAACGAGCTGTTAATGAATCCCAAAGTGAAATTTAGAAGACAGAACACTATACTCAAATACCTTATATAACACAGTGGCAGTTTTAATAACACTCAAGTTTAAAAACACACACACATAAATTAACTAAGCTTCACTGAACATGGGGAAGAACTCACCTCCTCCAAGTCTAACAAAAATGAAGGAGCCGACAATGAGGGCCACCCACAGTGACCTACGGCTAGCTTTAGACCCTGTTCTGCTCCTCAGTCCTCAGTCTTCTACAGTCTCTGCCTCAGTTCCCCTGGAGACAAGCCAGGACCACTGCTGCTAGCCCGAGGCAGGAGGAATGCCAACGGGATAGTTATAAATATGCTCAATACCGGTGTCTCTGGCTGGAAACCGGGCCTGTCATATTCCTCACTACGTCTCCGTACCGAAGAAAAAGTGATCAGAAAACACTGAATTCAACTGACTCATGGTAAATAAAAACACAGCCCTCCAAATGGACTGCAAACATTTGGCCACGTCAGTTAGCACCCAATTCCGAAAACTCTGCATTACCATGGCTTTTCTTTCCCTTTCTTTCCAATTTCCTGAAAGAGCAAGCATTTCAACAAAAAATAAACAACAATATAGATAAAACTGATGCTGCTGATTCTCGAAGACACTTCTTGCCTTAAACGCTCTCTGCTATTCAAAGGTAGTGCAGAGAACACAGACATAGTTAACGAGAATTTTTAAAGTATTGATTTGAGACAACAGGCTTCTTCACATCTTTATTCACTTAAATTCAGCCCAGTAAAAATTACAACTAAACCTCTCAAAAATGTTTTATTAGCTAGCCCTGCAACTTTCCTCCAAAAATTGTCCTTCAACTTGCACTGAGTAGTCAGTGTTTCCTGGGCACCTCCTCCGCGCCAGGTGCAGAACGAGGCTCAGACCCGACTGAGGCGCCCCGTGCGCTCGGGGGCCTCCACTCCCCGGGCTGTGCCCCTCCCAGCTGCAGGGACCGCTCCCTTCTGGGCGAGGCGGAGACAGCGCTGCTGGCCCCAGATGAAGGCCCAGGGCCGGCCCAGTCCTTCCCCACCAAGAGCCCCGACAACAGTCACCCCAGCCCCACGCCGCGCGGAAAAAGACCCGGCGAGGCCTGGGCCCCGCACCCCGAGTCGGGGCCGCCCACCTGGTCGAGGTACTGCCGGACGCGCTTCCGCAGCCGCTCTAGGTTCATGGCGGCGCGGGCCCGGCCTCACGCCACACTCCGCCGCTAGGCGCGCGCCTCCTGCACCCTAAGCACCCCGCCCCGTGCCCGTGCCCGTGCCTGCAGCCGCCGCCGCCGCCCCAGGACTCGAAGGCCGCGGACTCGAAGGCCGCAGGTCCCCACCCACACCCGCACCCCCCACCCAGGCCCCGTGCACTGCCCAGGCTCTTCCGCTCCAGGCAGGCCCCGCCCCGGAAGTCCACAGCAAACGAATCCCATCTGGCGCGGGAAAACGGACCCGAGTTGTTGGTTCCGATGCCTCTCCTGGCACGTGGGCTTCTGGTTGCCTTGGGGCGAGAGCGCGGCCTCCCTGGAATCGCTGCGGCGCCTCTGGGCATTGGCGAGAGAGTCAGGAGGGCTCGGGGCCGGACCACCCACCCGGGCAAAAAAGCAGGTGGCTGCTGAGCCTTCTTTCCCCAGAATGTAGTCAACATTTTAAAAATAAGAGCAACGCACTCTCATTACAAAAAAAAAAAATTGTGTGCACAAACAGCAAATGAAGTCAAAGACAACCTAGGGAAAAATTTGAAACCTATCACAAAATTCGAATTTCCTTATAATGTAGAGCCAATATTCCCTTTACATATATGTAATAAGTCAGTGGGAAGAGACCAATGGCTCAGGAGAAAGACAGGCAAAAAACAGTTCACAGGGAAAGAAATGCAAATAGACTTTAACATACGAAAGAAAGTCCAACTTAATTCATAATAAAAATTAAAATTAGAGTACCACTTTTCATATGTTAACAAAGATCACAAAGGTTGATGACACTGCTAGCAGGAATGTCGGGAAGCAGGCACCCTCAAGTTTTGTGAGTGGTATTGGTATACTCTCTAGGATGAACGAATTGGAATATCTTCCAAATTTAAAGGTGTTCGTGCTGTTAAACCTAATGATTTTTATTTTGGGAAATATACCATGGATTTGCATTTTTGCATGTGTGCAAAATGACCTGTGGTTTCGTTTGTAATAGCAAAAGATTGCAGACAATTTAAACACCCATGAAGTATGGAACTGAGTAAATAGGTCATGATACGCTCACGTAATGGAATACTCGCTGGCTGTTCAAAAGAACAGTCAGCTTTGCATGGACATTGAACGATCTTCAAGATATAGTATGTGGGAAAAAGCAAGTATAGGATCGTGTTTATCGTATGCCTGCATTTGAGTAAAATACGAATTTAATGATAGGTAGAAAAATCCCTAAACTGTCCCAGGAAGGAAAAATGAGAAAACCGGCATAGCGCAAGGCCTCTGGAAGGAGTGCTGGAAGATGAGAGATGGTAGAAGTGGGAGAGGTACTTCCTTGGATATCTTTTTGTGCTTTTGAATTTCAGTCAATGTGCATATATTACCTTTTGTGAAATTAAATCATTCAAACTTAAAATAATTTAAACTTGAAGCTGTTGGAACTTTGAATTACCTGAGCCTTGAGGGGAATGTGGCTACGCGGCCTAGGTCATGCCACACCCAGCTGTAACTTCTGCCTTTTTCCCTGTAAACAATAAAGACCAAATGGCACCGGAGATAAGACCCCCTCAGATCACTACCCCTCCTCATGGAGTTATAACGCAATCTTCCTTCAAATACAGAGATCCCTAACCAATGGAACCGCTGCGGCGTGTGCCCCTGGTCTCATATGAGAACTGTGGTGATCCTGCTGGAGCTTCTGTCTCCGCCTGGTAAGAGAGACCTGAGCTCCACTTGGAAAGGCTGACCCCATTTGTCCAGGTGGCCATTCTCAGGCTCTGTGCTCAAATACACACTATATGTAATCATATTTCTGAATCTCAATATTAAGGTTGACACTTTTAAAAAGTAAATATAACTTTTATAAATATAAAAACCTAAAAGAGTAAAAAAAATTCAAAGAAGCAAAAAAAAAAAAACTTGCTGTAAAGAATCCCACCCACTCAAAAATTCTCTCACGCTACTGTAAGTAATCTGCCGTGTAATTTTCTATGTGTGTGTATACATATATGACTGGGTAATATTTTGAAGTTGTGTTTAAAAATTTGTCCCCCTGTATATTTCCTTTTCCTCCTCCTTTCCCACTTCTGCAAGCAGGCAGTAATCAACTCTGCTCATTAACTTGGGGCAGGCATGTGGTGAGGTGTGTTTTAAGCCATATTTTCAACGACTTCTATCCATTTAATGAGATTCCTAGTTAACCAAAAATGAGTGACTGAGGCAAATGTCTCCATCAGTAGAAGTCTGATGATGGGCCCGGGAAAAACGCAAGCCACAGAAGCATCAACTGTGCCATCCAAATAGGGTTATGGGGACTGGGTGTTTAGGAGGAGACGGCAAGCAGGAGGAAAAAAAGGGAGGGGTCCACAGTGATGCTCTGATTAGTGCTCAGTAAACCAACAATTTACATAAGATGAGGCAAACATCTGACAAGAGGGAGTAGAGGAAAGAGTTATGTAGCCCATATCAGGGTAGGCAGAAGAGTGACTAATCTCATCTTGTCCTTGTTTTGTACCTGGAAGGTAAATTTGTAATTAATATTGCCAGGGCGAGATTTAACAGAAATCACTTTCAGGAGTCCTCTGCCAGATACCCTAACTCATCACTCTCAAGTTCAAAGTTCCAGAGATCCCTAGAGCAGGGGCACAATGCTGCCAGGTTCTTTGCTAATGCACAGCAAAAGTGACCTTTGCTTCAGTTCCTAGTAAGTTTCTCATCTCTATCTGAGACCTTATCAGCCTGCCCATCTCTCCATATCACTATCAGCATTTGGGTCACAACAATTTAAAAGTCTCTAGGAAGTTCCAAATTTTCCCCCATCTTCTTGTCTTCTTCTGAGCCCCCCACATTTTTCCAACCTCTGCCCATTACCCAGTTCCAAAGTTATTTCCGCATTTTCAGGTATCTTCATACGAATGCCCCACTTTTCAGTACCAATTTTCTGTATTAGCCTGTTCTCACATTCCTGTAAAGAAACACCTGAGGCCAGGCCCGGTGGCTCATTCCTTTAATCCCAGCACTTTGGGAGTCCGAGGCAGCTGGATCATGTGAGGTCAGGAGATCAAGACCAGCCTGGGCAACATACTGAAACCCCATCTCTACTAAAACTACAAAAAATTAGCCGGGTATGGTGGCAGATGCCCGTAGTCCCAGCTACTCGGGAGGCTGAGGCAGGAGAGTCACTTGAACCCCAGAGGCGGAGGTTGCAGTGAGCCAAGATTGCACCACTGCACTCCAGCCTGGGCAACAAGAGTGAAACTCCGTCTCAAAAAAAAAAAAGATAAAAAGAAACACCTGAGACTGGGTAATTTATAAGAAAAGAGGTTTAATTGGTTTACTGTTCTGCAGGCTGTACAGGAAGCATAGCTGCTTCTGCTTCTGTGCAGGTCTCAGGAAACTTACAATCATGGCGAAAGGCGAAGGGGAAGCAGACACAACTTACCTGGCCAGAACAAGAGAAAGGGAGAGAGGGGGCAGGTGCCACACACTTTTCAACAACCAGGCCTCACAAGAACTCACTCACTATACAGTCCCAAGTAGAGGATGGTGCTAAACCCTTCACGAGCACTCCACCCGCACGATCCAACCACCTCCCACCAGCCCCACCTCCAGCAGCAATGGGCACTCCACCCGCACGATCCAACCACCTCCCACCAGCCCCACCGCCAGCAGCAATGGGCACTCCACCCCCACGATCCAACCACCTCCCACCAGCCCCACCTCCAGCAGCAATGGGCACTCCACCCCCACGATCCAACCACCTCCCACCAGCCCCACCTCCAGCAGCAATGGGCACTCCACCCCCACGATCCAACCACCTCCCACCAGCCCCACCGCCAGCAGCAATGGGCACTCCACCCGCACGATCCAACCACCTCCCACCAGCCCCACCTCCAGCAGCAATGGGCACTCCACCCACACGATCCAACCACCTCCCACCAGCCCCACCGCCAGCAGCAATGGGCACTCCACCCCCACGATCCAACCACCTCCCACCAGCCCCACCTCCAGCAGCAGGGATTATAATTCCACATGAGCTTTGGTGGGGACACAGATCCAAACCACATCACATTCTAATAGAATGACCTGGAGTCTCTATATTTGGTTAGATTTCTTGTGCTTTTCTTCCCTTCTATACCTGTAATAGCCTACAGCAAAATCATGTTTACTGATTTTAGAATGATGCCCCTTAGGTTTGTCAACCTTAGATAGAAAGATTCAGAAAATACGAGTTAGCATGGAGTTTATTTGAGCACAAGCCCTGAGGATGACCACCTGGGAGCACAGATTTGAATTTCCCTGAGTATGCACCCAACCAGCAGCAGGTACCTGGTTGGGGGCGGGGGGTTTAAGGAGGAAAGAAAGGGCAGTTCCTGAGTTGTTTATCAAAAATTTACATTAAAACAACGTAAGCTATTGATTGACTATACATTTTTCTTTGTCTCACAGACTCCAGAAACATGAAAATAATGGGTGACACAGCAGTCAGGAACAAAATGCCTTAAACAATTGCCCCTGTGGCATGGGGAGCAGAGTGACTGAAGTTAGTCCCACACTCATGTCCTGATACATTTTGCATCCTTCAAATAGTTCAGACTGCTCTGAGCTATTTTTCTTTCCTCAGGTTAAACCTTCCATCGTTGTATTTCCTCTACCACACTTACTAATTGGTTAAACTGATAGGGCTCATAAATATTGTGTATTACCTCACACGACAAAATGGACTTTGCAAGGGGTGATTAAGTTAAGATGGGTTATGTGGGTGGGTATGATGTAATCACAAGAGTTCTTACAAGTGAAAGAGGGAGGCCGGGGGGTCAGAGTCAAAGAGACTGGAAGACGCTACGCCGCTGGCTTTGAAGATGGAGGAAGGAAAGAAGGAAGAACAGTGAGCTGGGAGTGCAGGTGGCCTCCTGAAGCTGGGAAAGGCCAGGGACGGGATTCTCACCTAGATGCTCCAGGAGCACAGCGCTGCTGACACCTTGATATCCTGCAGAGACCCATTTCAGGTAGTGATCGGAGGTTAGCAAACAAAATTAGAACTCTGCCAAATGTGTACATGCCAGAGGCTGGCTTGTCTAACAGAAGACATTCTGTTTATTTTCCTCCCCTTACATTCTCTCCCAGTATTTGCCCTTGTTAAAGAAGCTAAAATTTCAGGACCCTCTAAAGTTACTACAAGGGGGAAGTTAAGCCCTGGAGACTGAGTCACAGAGCATGTTTGCAATTCTGCAATACTGAGTTTTGTGAAATTCAGTGTGTAAAAATCTTTGTTTTGTGGTTTTAAAAGATAATTCCGTCCTTAAACTAGTTCCTGAAATACGGTCAGGAAAACAAGACTTGGATTTTCAGTATGACCAGAATATTAAACATGCCAAGTGGTTTCTCAAGAATTTAAATTACTCTGAAAGGAAGAGAGAACAATCACCCTTCTCACTGATTAGAGTGAGGTGGTATTGTCGCCACAGGAGAGCAGTTTACAAAGTTAGAGAATTCTGTTGGCTGAAACTGCAAAATGTTGAGGCTTTGAAAGAGCAAAGGCAGTGATTAAGAAGTCAATGATTGGCAGATACGTCTTTGTTGTCATTTTACAAAGACAGTTCTCAAGTTTGGAATTAACATCTATCCAAACATCAAGTCTCAATTCATCTTGCATTTCTCCACACCCTGTGGCTGCAAATCTGCTCCAGCGCTGCCTTGGAGACCTGTCCAGGTGCACCTGGACGCCACAGACGGGGCCATAAGCGTCGCCTGCAGAGTTGGGCAGAGGAAGCTCAGAGCTTCCCCGCCGGGACATGGGCACCACAATAACACTCTTAAAAAGAAAAACCCTCTGGGTTAATACCTTTCCTTTGAATTAACCTCCATCCAGGTAAAAAATGATTGATAATTAATGTTTGTTAATTAAAATTGAGGCATTCTGTTGGCTTATAAATGTTAAGCTTCGTGGCACTTACTGATGTGGAAAATAAGACCCAGCAAGGCTAACTTACCTAAGCAAGTTCCCAAAGCCGCACCTAAAACCAAGTCCCTGAGCTGACAATGGCCTCTTGGGTGTTGTACCCATTTGTGAGTATACCTGGGGTTTTAAGGCAAAAGCAGGCTGTGGGGACACCAAGAACATCAGCCTGGGGTTTGCAGCTTCCCCACTCTCCATGCCTCTTCAGAGACAATGCCCTCTGGGTGGCAGTGATCGAGTTCTGCCAGTGCGGGGAAGCTCTGCGGGGTGAAGGGAAGCCTGGAGAGGAATCTGCCAGGCCTGGCGTCCCAAGCATCACCTCCTGAAACTTCAGTAAAAGGACTGGGAGGCTACGGGAAGCAAGCTGAGCCACCCGGACAGAGCATCCTGAGGTGCCGGACGCCTTTTCTTCCTAGCATCCTGTCCCACCACCCCCAGGACACTGCAACACTAGTCATCCTGCACAGGCTCCCGCTGCAGCTTCTCAAAGACTGCTGTCCACAGACACGGGTCCAGCCCCGTCGACATGAGGGTAACAGCCAATTCAGAAGTGTCATAATCTCTAGCTGGTTATCTGATTATCTTTTTAGTATATCAAATTAACTGAATAATGCCCTCGTTTTGTGTTAGGTGGATATGAACTTTGTCATGAGCCATGAAAGTGTTCACTGGTCTCAATTTTGATGTCAAATTTGGGAAAGCACTTTCTAGTACAAGTTGTTCTTCTGATTGACTCATCCACGTGTACTTTGGTCTCCTGTGCCAGTGTTCTGCCAGGAGCGGGTGACGGAGTGCAGATTGTGGAGGGCCCTGCGAACACAGGCTTGACGCCTGTGGAGGCCACAGTGGCGGTCCTCAAACGGACGCCAAGATGGAACTGAAGGATTTGGTTGAACCAGTGGATAGGGGAGGGAGTGGAGGTGGGAGAAGGCCCAGGGCATTCAGGGAATGCAAAGAAACCTAGTCTGGCTGGAACGCAGTGAGTGAGGGCCCATAAGATGAATGAGGAAAAGCTTCCTACAGTGATGTGTGAAAAAAACAACTGCCTCTGGATAGTTTGCAATGCTTACAGGTGTTGCTCAGTGTCAAAAATATTTTATTAACACACAGCTTGCTTATGCCAAGACATGTTATCATTATTGTCTGAAACATAGTGCTGAGGATAATTTTTAAAAATGACAGCAGTATATCACTGAAAAAAAGCAGGAAATCATCTAATCTGGAGATAGACACACACACACACACCCCCCACACTGGTGCACACCCCCCCACAGACACACTACACATCGCACACTAGTCCACACACACCACACACAACATACCACACCCCACATACTAGTGCAAACCCAACAGACATACTCCACACAATATACCACACACACACCCCACAGACACACACACCACACACTAGTGCACACCCCTCACAGACACACTACACACTGCACACTAGTCCACACACAACATACCACACACATACCCCACAGACGTCACACACCACACACTGGTGTACACAACACAGACCACACACACACACCACAGCCCCCCTGCCCAACACCACACATATAACTATGCTTATGAATTGCTGATTTCAGTGAATGTGGCACTTGGTGATTGGTTACATTCTTCTTGATCAGTCCTCCTTATTCTGAGTTACTTTGTATGTATTGAGAATTATACATTATTTTGCCACAATTTATGATTTGATGAAAATATTGGGAAAAACATGAGAAAGAGTGATGGGGTGTTGGAATTGTGGGCTCCTTAAAATTTCTCCTCAGCCTTGTAGAAAATGAGAAAATCTCCAAGTGTCTGGTTAATTTGCCTGGGTACTTCAGTCAGCCGGATCTTTTTTGTTTGTTTGTTTTTGAGACAAGATCTCCCTCAGTCACCCAGGCTGGAGTGCGTTGGTGTGATCTCTGCTCACTGCAGCCTAAACCTCCCAGGCTCAAGCAATCTTCCCACCTCAGCCTCCTGAGTAGCTGGGACCATAGGCACCACCACATCCGGCTAGTTTTTGTATGTTTTGTAGAGGTAGGGTCTCACTGTGTTGCTCGGGCTGGTCTTGAATTTCCAGACTCAAGCAATGCGCCCCGCCCCCCACACTCCCCCGCCGTATCAGCCTCCTGAGGTGCTGGCAGGTGTGAGCCACCGCCGGCCAGCGGCATCTACTTCACAGGACGTCCATTCTGGAGATCGCCACTAGTGGGCACCATTTCTCCACGCATCCATGGGCTTTTCTCCACGGTCCTTGTTAGCGGATGGCTGCTGGCCTGGGGCATTTCAGTTTTTGAAAGTCTCTGACCAGACATGCACTCATGCAGCGAGGGACTCTGAAGGTTGTCTCGAGGCCCAGATCACAGAATCTGAGAGGCAATGGGGCTTTACAGATGGATTCCCCAAGGGTTCCGTTTAAGGAGTTCTTTCCATTTCAGCCACTGTTTTGAGGGTCAATGCAATTTGTGGTTCCCCTTCCCCAACCTGTAGGTTACATGAAAACTAAATCTGGTCTTTAAAGAACTATTTATTGTCTACGGAGTTTTAGGACATTATAGTTACTGTTGAGGAGAGAAGACAATTAAACAAATACCAATACAAGAAAAGTCCTAGTTGGTAAATACTGAGAACTTTGCAGCTGTGTGAGCGTAATGACATTTCACGAGTGGCTCCAGCCCAGTGTGGCACGGCTTTGGCACATCTCCGGACCTGAAAACAAGCTCAGTGTAACATGGGACAGACGTCACAGTCTGCCGCCTGTGTCAGTCTTGCTGGTTTTAATAACGTTTCAATGTGTGTTTCCCTACCAGACCCATGTGCTGAACCCAGCTGTAGCTCACCAGAGTTTGCCTTCTTTGCTAAGCAAGCCTGCCCTCCAGGCTTGGCACCCATTTCTGAAACAGAGATGTTTCACAGCGTTAGCACCCGAAGGGCCTGGACTCCATCAGCTGCCCAGGTTGCATTTCCAGAACATTCCCTCACATCTGGAACTCTATCCACATCGCAACCAGAGGGGCCTACACGCCCCCTAAGGCCAAAGACATCACCCTTTTATAGTGGCCTCGTTCTTCTCTGAGACAGATGAGGTCTGGGAGTCCTGAGAGTGGCCTTGTGTGACCCTTCTGGTGGCAGCAGGGAAGAGTGTGGCGATCAAACTCGGCAGAGCCACGGCCAAAGGGCTGAGATGTCCAGCAGCCCCATGTCCCACTGACCTGGAGAAAACACACAGCAGCCACTGCTTTACCGACTTTGGCTTCACCACTGCAGGGTGGGGACCGGAGTGAGGCAGAGGAGGCGCTCAGGGCTCAGAATGAAGGAGGCTCCTCAGGTGAGCCCTGCATACCCTAGGGCAACAGCCTCCTGTTCTGCAGGGGGCACTCCCTTCCCCCACCCCAGTACCAGCCTGGGCCACGCCTGCAATTCTTATTCCTCCTTCTTTCTCCTTGTCCGTCCTCCCCAGTCCCCTCCCACTCCCCTTTTTGCCTCCCTCCTTCTCTTCTCCCTCCCCTCCCCTTCCACTCCCCCGGCTTCGCTTCTCCTCCCCTCCCCCTTTCCATCCCCCCTCCCTCCCCTCCCCCTTTCCCTCCCCCTCCTTCCCCTCCCCCTTTCCCTCCCCCTCCCTCCCCTCCCCCTTTCCCTCCCCCTCCCTCCCCTCCCCCTTTCCCTCCCCCTCCCTCCCCTTCCCCTCCCCCCTCCCCCCTCCCCTTCCTCCCCTCCCCTTTCCCCCCTCACTTCTCCTCCCCTCCCTAGCCCTTCCCCCTCCCCCTCCCTCCTCTGTCCTCCTCCTCCTCCTTCTGTCTCTTCCCCTCCTCTTCCACTATAGGACTACTTTTCTACCTTCTTTTCCCTTCTCCCTTCTTCTCTCCCTCCTTTATTTTCTTCCTTTCTATATTTAACACGTATTTCCTGTGTGCCCACCTCACACAGGATAGACAGGCTTCTGTCCTCACTGCTCCATCCATTATATTTATGATGGTTTTAAAGCATTTCAAAGTTCTATAGGTTTCAATTAATTTGATACCCAGAGTAACATGGGACAGACACATCTCTGGATCTGAAAATGCACCTGGTACTTGACTTTTCAGGTCATCAGAGCTTGTGGGTGGCTGGTTTTTACACTAAGGCTGCTGGCAGGATGCTCATTTGTCCACTGACTCTCTGAGCAAAGTCCAGAAGGGAAAAGAGCTGACATTATGGCTCTTCTGTGTAATGGCAAGATTTTGTCTACTTCTTGACTATGTGTAGCAATTTGTCAGTCTTTATAAACTGTTTGCTCTCTGGAAAGAGAGATTGAAAAGAGAACAATGTTCTCAGGACCAGACAGCAGCCTTTCTAGTTTTGTGATAGATCCTTTGACGTTCATTGCATTAGGGCCCATCAGGGAGGGCTGGCAGAGGCCAGGACTCCTACAGCACAACCCTTGTGGGGTGGAACAAGGTGGGGACACACAGGCAGGCACATTCGGAAAATGCTGCCAGAGTCAACCCTAAACTGCCACCTCGAAAAGGAGGTGCAAATTCGAGGCTTGCAAACCAAGGACACAAATCGCTATGGAGAGGCCATTTTTTCCATCAAGTTTAGCACAGACGTGGACTGTTAATGGAGGTCCTGTGCCCAGTTGCGCTTCACGACACAGGGGGGCGGGGCTGCCTGGAGAGGTCATGGCTGCAGTGGGCAGAGGCCCAGCTCCTCCCGGCCCGATGCCGGCATCTCAGGCTCCAGCACCACCTGCTGCACAGGAGAGGCTTCGGGAGGTCCACTCGGGGGATCAGCAGGAGACCCAGAATCCACATCCAGGCCTGTCTGACCCCACAGTCTGTGATTTTAAACACTGTCAATGGAAGGTCCACCCTGAGGAGCGGTGAGGAACCTGGGATTGCCGAATTCTGCATGGAGGAGCCGGAGGCAAGCTCTGCTATTCATGTCAAGTGTATTTTAAAGGGGCTTGTGCATAAAGGAATGAAATAAGGAATGAAATTAGCTGCTGCTTCTTTTTTTTTTTTTTTTTTTTTTTGGTAGAGACGGGGTCTCATCATGTGGCCCAGGCTGGTCTTGAATTCCTGGGCTCATGCGACCCTCCCACCTTGGCCTCCCAAACTGCTGGGAATGTAGGTGTGCGATACCATGCCCAGCCTGAAATTATCTTCTTATTTTCATTCAAACAAAACAAAACAAAAATTTAAATCTATAATATAGGTTAAAAATAGCAAAGAGTACTTTGGGAGGCCAAGGCAGACAGATCACCTGAGGTCAGGCATTCAAGACCAGCCTGGTCAACATGGTGAAACCCCGTCTCTACTAAAAATACAAAAATTAGCTGGGAGTGGTGGTGCATGTGCCTGTAATCCCATCCATCTCAAAAAATAAATAAATAAAATAAAAATAATAAATAAATAAATAGCAAAGAGTAGTTAGGGACCGTGACATTTCTGAGGGGCTAGCTATCAGCTCCATGAGGCTGAGACTACATATGCAGAGTTCTGTTGAATGAATGAAGGTGTGTGTGAGTCTTTTAACTCATTTTTAAAAGGCATTGCCCATGGGCTGATGTTCATTGTTGTGGAACAGCTTAGGCGGGATCTTACCTGGGGCTGATAGAGAACTAAGCAGATCCCAAGGGCTCTCAGACATACCCTTGATGTCTCCAACCGAGACTCTCTGGGTCCTTTTTTCTTTTCTTTTCTTTTCTTTTTTCTTTCTTTTTTTTTTTTTTTTTGAGATGGAGTCTTGCTCTGTCGCCCCGGTTGGAGTGCAGTGGCGCGTTCTCGGCTCACTGCAACCTCCATCTCCCAGGTTCAAGCGATTCTCCTGCCTCAGCCTTCTGAGTAGCTGGGATTACAGGTGCCCGCCACCATGCCTGGCTAACTTCTTTGTATTTTTAGTAGAGATGGGGTTTCACCATGTTGGTCAGGCTGGTCTCGAACTCCTCACCTTGTGATCCGCCCACCTCGGCCCCTCAAAGTGCTGGGATTACAGGCGTGAGCCATCGTGCCTGGCCCTCTGGGTCTTTTTTATATCTTAGGTTATGTATTCTGGAGTCAAGCTGTAGTTTCATCACGTTCAAAAATTTTAATCTGATTTATTTAGATATTTGTTAAAGGAACAATCACAGAGCTTTTAAGGTAAGTTAAAAATCCACCTAGGAATTATAGACAAATCCACCACAGCTCAAAATACAGTAACAGAATAAGTCTTCATAGCTAGAGAAAACAATCTAATTCAAACCCTCACCTCCTAACATGACTCTGCATAGTTTGTTTCCAGTTATCAGAGTCCAAGAAGCACAGAAAATAGTTTTGCTGCGTCATCTGCTCGGGCACATTGTTGAAACACCGTTTGAGGAGCTGCCTCCTGGGCACTTCACAGCTGCTCCGGCTGTGATAACAGTGAAGAGAGGAAGACAGCGGGGCTGCCCTGGCCCCGGCCCTGGGCAAGGCTGATTCCCCACACTGCCCTGAGACCGCTGGCTGTGTTAGCCTGGGGGAGCTCATGGCTGGCCTTGTGGGTCTTCCTTGTGACTCCCTCATCACACTTGTCTTCTTTCTGGATTTGTGTTCTGAATCCTTACCCTTCCTCACTTCTCTTTTAGGGTCCAGGCTTGGCTGTGCGCTTGCTAATCCAGTTTCACTTCCTGCTGGATTTAAAATACATATTTGAAACTAACGCTTTCTTAGGCAAGAACAAGAAACTATCAACTTACTTGGGAAATGGAATATTTCAACTCATTGACAAGTCTTTACTTAGAATTAAACATACAATTTTTAAAATAACAGCTTTATTTAGATACAATTCTATACCCCTTTATAGTGTATATTTTAGTGTGTTTTGGTATATTCAGAGTTGTGCAACTATTGTCACAATATAATTTCAGAACATCTTCATCACCTCCCCCTCCAAAAATCAAACTCCTTTGGGATCACTCCCCAATTTCCCTTCCCCCAGCCCCGACAACCACTGATTACTTTTTGTCTCTTTGAATGTGCCTATTCTGGACATTTCATATAAAAGGGATCAGACAACATGCGGCATTTAGTATCCAGCTTTTTCACGGAACATAATAATGTCTTTAAGGTTTATCCATTCTGTAACTAGTATCATTCCTTTTTATGGTAGAATAATATTCCATTCTATGGCTATACCACGTTTTATCTGTTCATCAGTTGATAGACATTTGGGTTGTTTACACCTCTTGGTCATTGTGAACTGTGCTGCTATGAACATCAGTGTATGGGTTTTTGCATGAATGTATGTTTTCAAGTCTCTCGAATATAGACCTAGGAGTGGAGTTGCTGGGTGATTTGGTAACTGTTTAACTTTTTGATGAACTACCAAACTGTTTTCCAAAGTGGCTGCACCACTCTTTTTTTTTCTTTTCATTTTAAGTTTGTGTACCTTTTATTTCATTTCCTTTTTTTTTTATTACACTTTAAGTTCTAGGGTACATGTGCACAATGTGCAGGTTTGTTACATATGTATACATACCACTGTTTACCCCTACCAGCAGCCTATGAGGGTTCCAGTTTCTCCACATCCTTATTGTAATCTACCTTTTGATTGCAGACAAGTTAGTGGCTGCAAGTGACATCTCACTGTGGTCTTCATTTGCATTTACTAATAACATTGAACATCTTCTCATGCACTTATTGGCCATTTGTATATCCTGTTGGGAGAAATCTCTATTCAAATAATCAGATAACCTTTTGTCAGTTTTGTTGTTAAACATCTTTCTGAAATGCAGCAAAGTACTTTTCCCGGAATCAGTAAACTGAGCCATGTTGGCTTGTTGCTGGATGGTAAAGGGCCTTCAGGAGGAAAAAGGAAAGAAACTCAAATTTATCTTTTGCCAAGTAAGTGTGAGTCACTTTTTTTGTTTTTTTGTTTTTTTGAGACGTAGTCTCGCTCTGTCGCCTAAGCTGGAGTGCAGTGGCGCGATGTCGGCTCACTGCAACCTCCGCCTCCCTGGTTCAAGCGATCCTCCTGCCTCAGCCTCCTGAGTAGCTGGGACTACAGGCGCACGCCACTACACTCAGCTAATTTTTGTATTTTTAGTAGAGACGGGGTTTCACCATGTTGGCCAGGATGGTCTCGATCTCCTGAAATCGTGATCCGCCTGTCTCGGCCTCCCGAAGTGCTGGGATTACAGGCATGAGCCACCATGCCCAGCCAAGTGTGAGTCACTTTCACAGTCATTTTTGCAAATGTTATTCACTTAACCCTGACGTGAGGTCCAGGAGGTGGTTCCTGTCCCATCTTTAGAAGCGAGAATGGGGCTCCCCGAGGCTGAGCTTTTGTCCGAGATGATGGTTGGAGGCCAAGGAGCTCAAAGCCAACTCACATCCATTGTGTGTCCTGTGTCAACCTGCACTGAGTCAGCCGATTATTTAAACAGCTAATTTTGCTCCTGGAGATCATTTGTGTTTGTTTAATTTTTGCTTCTTTCTCATGTGCAGGAGTTATTGGGGTTGGGGCACTAAATTAGAGCAATGCATACTTCCAGTTAGCTGGGGGCTCCAGGAAGTGCCAGGATGGCCAGTGGGTTTTGTTGGATAATCTTATATAAATCCTTCAGTAGAAACAGGTACAAAATTATTATCTTCTCATTTTGGAGTTAGGGATAAATGACTTGAAGGGGTAAGGAGGATGGAAAATTGAAATCCTTCCTTTAAAATGTTTGAGAAATTTTGCGAGTTAATATTTAAACCAGATTGAGATATCCAGGAGACTAGCAGTACAGCCTCCGTCAGGTGAAGCTTTGGGGCAGAGGAGAGGGGCCTGGGCTCTGGAGAGCAGGGAAGGGGTTCTCTGCCAGTGTCATGAATTTCTGGGACTATAAAGGTAAAGTGATGTGTCCCATCCATGCGAGGCCAGCGAAGATCCCAGAGCAAAGATCCCGGATCCCAAAGGTCTGGCAGCTGGCCGAACCATAGGGAGGTGGTCCAACAGCAGGTCAAGGTGGCCGCTGGGCCCAGGAGGGTCTTCTGAAGGCTGTGTTTCAGGTTTCTGGTCTCATAACACTTAGCATTTTTCTTTCCTAAACCTACAGTTTTCAAATAAATTAACTTTGTTTTTCTTTCTAAAATGAGAAGACGTGTGTGCCGTGCTCCCTCGTCGCCAGCTTGGTACGTGGCTGGTCTGTTTCCAAGGTGGGGAAGCACCACCGAGAGACGCATTCACGTTCCAGTAGTTCAAAACTGCAGACCCCATGGCAGAGAAGGGGACTGAAGACTGAGGTACCCTATGGCCCTGGGCCCATCGCCTCCTTCCTCCCTCACACACAGGAGCCAAAGGCCCTAGGAGCTTAAAGATGCTGCTGAGAAAGCCATCTTCTTGGGACACACAGACCATAATTCCAGCTTGAGGTTCAGAGACAATGAGTCGTTTCCCATGTTTCCCGTTTTTGTCCAGGTACAGGGCAGTGGGGGAGGCATGCCTCGGAGCCAGTGTCCTGCAAGAGCCTGCCCCTCCCCAGCTCTGTCTTGGAGCCTACACTTGAACCATATTGCCAAAGCTGGGGACTTCAATAAAGTGCAGTGACTGGTCTGTGGCTGCAGGAAACTCTTTCTAGTGCTTCTGTTTTCCCTTTTTTTGTTTGACTTTATCTTAACATTGCTTTTGTGGTGGGCTTTATCTGTTTCCTGTTACATAAAGCAGGAAGAATAAGAGAGCCAAAGAAAGTAAATGAAGTATAAATTTGAAACATTGGTTGCAAGCACTGTCTTGACATTTGCTGAGGAAAAACTCAATAGTATTAATATAAGAGGAGGAAAAGTAAGGAAATGAAAACAAAAGAGCCAGAAATGAGAACAAATACAATATACTTATGTCAATACATATAAATGGATAAAACTGAGCGGGGAAAGCCTCTGGGACTAGGTTAAAATGCAAAATTATGCTATTCTGTTTATGAGACAATATAAAATAAAATGACCCAAAGATATTAAAAATAAAATGATGTAAATTTGTTTGAGTTCTTTGTAGATTCTGGATATTAGCCCTTTGTCAGATGAGTAGATTGCAAAAATTTTCTCCCATTCCGTAGGTTGCCTGTTCACTCTGATGGTAGTTTCTTTTGCTGTGCAGAAGTTCTTTAGTTTAATTAGATCCCATTTGTCAATTTTGGCTTTTGTTGCCATTGCTTTTGGTGTTTTAGTCATGAAGTCCTTGCCCATGCCTATGTCCTGAATGGTATTGCCTAGGTTTTCTTCTAGGCTTTTTATGGTTTTAGGTCTTACATTTAAGTCTTCAATCCATCTTGAATTAATTTTTGTATAAGGTGTAAGGAAGGGATCCAATTTCAGCTTTCTACATGTGGCTAGCCAGTTTTCCCAGCACCATTTATTAAATAGGGAATCCTTTCCCCATTTCTTGTTTTTGTCAGGTTTGTCAAAGATCAAATGGTTGTAGATGTGTATTATTGTTTCTGAGGGCTCTGTTCTGTTCCATTGGTCTATATCTCTGTTTTGGTACCAGTATCATGCTGTTTTGGTTACTGTAGCCTTGTAGTATAGTTTGAAGTCAGGTAACATGATGCCTCCAGCTTTGTTCTTTTGGCTTAGGATTGTCTTTGCAATGTGGGCTCTTTTTTGGTTCCATATGAACTTCAAAGTAGTTTTTTCCAATTCTGTGAAGAAAGTCATTGGTAGCTTGATGGGGATGGCATTGAATCTATAAATTACCTTGGGCAGTATGGCCATTTTCACTATATTGATTCTTCCTATCCATGAGCGTGGAATGTTCTTCCATTTGTTTGTGTCTTCTTTTATTTTGTTGAGCAGTGGTTTATAGTTCTCTTTGAAGAGGTCCTTCACATCCCTTGTAAGTTGGATTCCTAGGTATTTTATTCTCTTTGAAGCAATTGTGAATGGGAGTTCACTCATGATTTGGCTCTCTGTTTGTCTGCTATTGGTGCATAAGAATGCTTGTGATTTTTGCACATTGATTTTGTATCCTGAGACTTTGCTGAAGTTGCTTATCAGCTTAAGGAGATTTTGGGGTGAGATGATGGGGTTTTCTAAATATACAATCACGTCATCTGCAAACAGGGACAATTTGACTTCCTCTTTTCCTAATTGAATACCCTTTATTTCTTTCTCCTGCCTGATTGCCCTGGCCAGAACTTCCAACACTATGTTGAATAGGAGTGGTGAGAGAGGGCATCCCTGTCTTGTGCCAGTTTTCAAAGGGAATGCTTCCAGTTTTTGCCCATTCAGTGTGATATTGGCTGTGAGTTTGTCATAAATAGCTCTTATTATTTTGAGATACGTCCTATCAATACCGAATTTATTGAGAGTTTTTAGCATGAAGGGCTGTTGAATTTTGTCAAAGGCCTTTTCTGTATCTATTGAGATAATCATGTGGTTTTTGTCATTAGTTCTGTTTATATGCTGGATTACATTTATTGATTTGCATATGTTGAACCAGGCTTGCATCCCAGGGATGAAGCCTACTTGATCATGGTGGATAAGCTTTTTGATGTGCTGCTGGATTCGGTTTGCCAGTATTTTATTGAGGATTTTTGCATTGATGTTCACCAGGGATATTGGTCTAAAATTCTCTTTCTTTGTTGTGTCTCTGCCAGGCTTTGGTATCAGGATGATGCTGGCCTCATAAAATGAGTTAGGGAGGATTCCCACTTTTTCTATTGATTGGAATAGTTTCAGAAAGAATGGTATCAGCTCCTCCTTGCACCTCTGGTAGAATTCGGCTGTGAATCCATCTGGTCCTGGACTTTTTTTGGATGGTAGGCTATTATTGCCTCAATTTCAGAACCTGTTATTGGTGTATTCAGGGATTCAACTTCTTCCTGGTTTAGTCTTGGGAGGGTGTATGTGTCCAGGAATTTATCCATTTCTTCTAGATTTTCTAGTTTATTTGCGTAGAGGTGTTTATAGTATTCTCTGATGGTAGTTTGTATTTCTGTGGGATCAGTGGTGATATCCCCTTTATCATTTTTTATTGCATCTATTTGATTCTTCTCTCTTTTATTCTTTATTCAACCCCATCAAAAAGTGGGCAAAGCATATGAACAGACACTTCTCAAAAGAAGACATTTATGCAGCCAACAGACACATGAAAAAATGCTCACCATCACTGGCCATCAGAGAAATGCAAATCAAAACCACAATGAGATACCATCTCACACCAGTTAGAATGGCCATCATTAAAAAGTCAGGAAACAACAGGTGCTGGAGAAGATGTGGAGAAATAGGAACACTTTTACACTGTTGGTGGGACTGTAAACTAGTTCAACCATTGTGGAAGACAGTGTGGCAATTCCTCAAGGATCTAGAACTAGAAATACCATTTGACCCAGTCATCCCATTACTGGGCATATACCCAAAGGATTATAAATCATGCTGCTATAAAGACACATGCACACGTATGTTTATTGCAGCACTATTCCCAATAGCAAAGACTTGGAACCAACCCAAATGTCCATCAATGACAGACTGGATTAAGAAAATGTGGCACATATGCACCATGGAATACTATGCAGCCATAAAAAAGGATGAGTTCATGTCCTTTGTAGGGACATGGATGAAGCTGGAAACCATCATTCTCAGCAAACTATTGCAAGGTCAAAAAACCAAACACCGCATGTTCTTATTCATAGGTGGGAATTGAACAATGAGAACACATGGACACAGGAAGGTTAGCGTCACACACCGGGGCCTGTCGTGGGGTGGGGGGAGTGGGGAGGGATAGCATTAGGAGATATACCTAACGTAGATGACAAGTTAGTGGGTGAGGCACACCAACATGGCACATATATAGATATGTAACAAACCTGCACATTGTACACATGTACCCTAGAACTTAAAGTATAACAGAAAATAAATAAGTAAAAAATAAAATGATGTCTGAAAACAAGCCGGGAGGAGGGCAGTGGAGGTGACAATGTGGATAAAAGCACTGAGATCCCTGGAGAAGGAGTGTCGCAGACACAGACAGGCTGGGAGAAGCACACCTGTGGGGCTGTGATTTCACAAGGGCAAAGCCAGCAGAAGAGGTGGGAGGCTCTGGGAGGCTCTCATGCACGAATTCAGTCCACTAGTGAGATTGTGACTTGTGTACTTAGACCCAACATATAGGAGGTGCTGACTCTCATACCTAGAAACAAGACATGTGCGGGATTGTTAAATCTCATCCCCAAAACTTCCTGCAGGTTTGACTTTGACATAAGCCTCTGCCAAGCACCTGAGCAATTTGACTCTCCTACCTGAGCCCAGCCCACAGATGGAATTGTGACACATCACCACAGTGATCTGTCATTGTGAGAGAGAATAGTGAGGGAGAAAGCGTCTCACCTGTAGTCAAAGAGGGACAGCATCAAAGCAGACACTGCTTTTGGCAGTGAAATGAGCAAAGAGTGCCCCCACGGGTAACCCTTCATGTTGGTGAGGACATGGGAAAGCACTGCTACAAATCTCTGGAGAACAATTTCTATGAAGTGTGAAGAATAGAGTTTTTGACATTGTAAACTGATTTTTAATAACTTGTAATAAACTGAAAAAATAAACATTGATCTCTAACTTGCACAATACACAAAAATTCCATAGTTATTAAGTTCCATATTTACTAAAAACTGAAAGGTAATCAAGAAAACTTATAGTATTAGAAGAGAATACAGGAGAATACTTGCATAATCTTAGCTTGAGAGAGCCCTTTCTGTGTATGGCACACAGACCAGATGCCATAAGGGAAATTATTGATGGATTTGACTACCTTAAAATAAACTTAGGTGAATTGATAAGTAATAATGTGGAAGAGATACTTATGACATTGATAATAGAAAAAAGGTAAATATTGATAACATATACTTACTATAGATTAATAACGAAAAGTAACATATGATAAGAATTTGGTCAAAGGCTATGAACAGACAATTCATACAAGAAGAAATCAGATGGTCCAAAGTTTAAAAATATATTTACTACCCAGGGTTGGCAAAATTATGAGGAGACAGACACTTTGGGACCACTTTAAGCAGAGGTGAAAATTGCTAGACTGTTTGTGGGGGGCAATTAGGTGGTATCCATTGAAAATCTAAATGTGCTTACCTTTGATTTAACCATTTTCCTTCTAGGAATATAAGTTACAGCATAATTTTGTGTAAAGATACATATGGGTTAAGATGATCATCATAGTTTCACTTGGAATATCGAAAAACTGAAAACAACCTAAATTTCAATAATTAGGGGACTGATTAAATAAATTAAGGCAAATCTGTATAAAATATTTTGTAATTGCTAAAAAAGGAATGAAGAAGACTTTCATGTATGGAATGAAACTATTTGTATGATACATTATTGAGTGAAATGAGCAATTTACAGAAAACTACGTAGAGTAGGACTCCATTTTTGTTTAAACAAACAAATATGGCCGGGTGCAGTGGCTCATGCCTATAACCCCAGCTACTGAGGAGGCTGAGGCAGGAGAATCACTTGAACTTGGGTGGCAGAAGTTGCAGTGAGCCAAGATCGCGCCACTGCACTCCAGCCTGGGTGACAGAGTGAGACTCCATCTCAACAAACAAACAAACAAACAAAACCTCAAATATATGTACTTGACAAATAAAAATCAAAGTTCACATGCAAGTTGCTAACAGTGATTACTTCCAGGGGCTGCCATCCAAGAGAAGACTCCCATGTTCCTTACACCCTCTATACTGTTTGACATTTTATGGTTTACAGAAAGCAAATATTAGCTTTGTAGTTAAAAGATTTGAGAAAATTGATTGGACTTGAAATGTTTAAAATTTCAATGTAAATTGCAAAGCAGACTAGATTTTCTGAATGCCTTCAGAGTTAGTAGCTGCTTAACAGTCATGCGTCTTTGCACAGGTACTTGTTCTCTTCACTCTTCGGGATTCTATAAGAGATGTCCAGCAAGCAGCAGAGCTGGGCTTACGATGTTGTACCAAGCATGGAAGGAAGCACTGCAAAGCTGACATCAGCACAAATACCTGTGGAAACTGCAGGGGGCAAGGCAATGAGGTGCTACTTCAAGTAGGTGCGCAGGGGTAGAGCCTGTGATCCTAGAACTTGTCCGGGGTTGGGGTCTGTGGTTCTGAAGCTCGTTCAGGGTTAGGGTTAGGGTTAGGGTTAGGAGCTTGTACACGGGTGGGGTCTGTGGTCCTGGAGCTTCCACAGGGATGGGGTCTGTGGTCCTGGAGCTTCCATAGGGGTGGGGGTCTGTGGTCCTGGAGCTTGTCCAGGGGTGGGGTTTGTGGTCCTGGAGCTTCCATAGGGGTGGGGTTTGTGGTCCTGGAGCTTGTCCAGGGGTGGGGTTCGTGGTCCTGGAGCTTCCACAGGGGTGGGGTCTGTGGTCCTGGAGCTTGTCCAGGGGTGGGGTCTGTGGTCCTGGAGCTTCCACAGGGATGGGGTCTGTGGTCCTGGAGCTTCCATAGGGGTAGGGTTCATGGTCCTGGAGCTTGTGCAGGGGTGGGGTTCATGGTCCTGGAGCTTCCACAGGGGTGGGGGTCTGTGGTCCTAGAGCTTGTCCAGGGGTAGGATCCGTGGTCCTGGAGCTTCCACAGGGATGGGTTCTGTGGTCCTGGAGTTTCCATAGGGGTGGGGTTCATGGTGCTGGAGCTTCCACAGGGGTGGGGTTCATTGGCCTGGAGCTTGTCCAGGGGTGGGGTCTGTGGTCCTGGAGCTTCCACAGGGGTGGGGTCTGTGGTCCTGGAGCTTCCACAGGGATGGGTTCTGTGGTCCTGGAGTTTCCATAGGGGTGGGATTCGTGATCCTAGAGCTTGTGCAGGGGTGGGGTTCATGGTCTTGGAGCTTCCACAGGGGTGGGGTCTGTGGTCCTTGAGCTTGTCCAGGGGTGGGGTCTGTGGTTCTGGAGTTTGTGCAGGGGTGGGGTCCATGGTCCTGGAGCATTTATTTAATCTTTGGTGTCTACATATTTTTCCTTATGATGGGCTGGATTTTAAGGAAAGCAATCTTCCACATTATAATGGTCCACAATATAACGGTTATATATACAGGTAAAGCGAGTGATGGAAGATCTTTAAAACTCTTTAATTAATTTGATTTATTGGGGATATTTATAAGCAGTATATTAATGACAAAATTTAAATCTCATGGTTCTTCCTTTACAATTACAATTTTGTCAATTTGAATAAAATGAAGAGAGTTTAGAACTTAAATTGTGGGACAAACTCAAATTTTTAACTCTTTCCATTTTGGATTCTGTGGGACAGCTAATTCAGGATCATCACATGATTTCTTTTTTTCTTTTTTCCTTTTCTTTTTAATTTTTATTTTATTTATTTTGAGACGGAGTCTCGATCTGTTGCCCAGGCTGGAGTGCAGTGGCAAGATCTCGGCTCACTGCAACCTCCGTCTCCTGGGTTCAAGTGATTCTCCTGCCTCAGCCTCCCGAGTAGCTGGGATTGCAATTTTGTGCCACCATACTTGGCTAATTTTTTGTATTTTTTTTAGTAGAGACAGGGTTTCACTGTGTTAGCCAGGATGGTCTCCATCTCCTGACATCGTTATCCACCCGCCTTGGCCTCCCAAAGTGCTGGGATTATAGGCATGAGCCACCATGCCCTGCCTCTTTTTCTTTTTTTAATAGAGACAGTGGCTCACTATGTTTCCCAGGCTGGTCTCGAACTCCTCAGCTCAAGCGATGCTCCTACCTCAGCCTCCCAAAGTGCTGGGGGTTATAGACGTGAGCCACTGCGCCTGGCCAACCTGATGTTAATGATGTTGTATGCATACTATCTGGCTAAGTTATTTTCACCAAATCTTTCTCTCACAATCTACAATCAATCAGCTGAGCTTATTTTAATTTCCTCAACTTCGTGAACAAATGCGTGGTGGGTGAGGTCATCAGCTGAGTGACTGTTTT
The DNA here is from genome assembly GCF_000001405.40 of Homo sapiens. Classification (NCBI taxonomy): domain Eukaryota; kingdom Metazoa; phylum Chordata; class Mammalia; order Primates; family Hominidae; genus Homo; species Homo sapiens. The sequence continues at coordinate 114,212,271 of NC_000013.11, read as the reverse complement.
GCATCTCCTGTTACAGGATGTGACCATTTGACATATCCTTGCTGACAATTGAACAAAATGCTCTAATACGGCAAAGAATGAGTGAGTACATAATTCTGATGAATCTGATGAAGTAAAACGGGAAATTTCAAATAGCTATGGATTTTAGATGAAAAAGAAGGTGCGGGTACCTTTTTGCTAGGCGTATCTGCTGTCTCCAGGGAGATTCCACACCAGCACCCGGGACTTCTCAGCCCTGCCCCAGTCTTCACACCACCTTTGAGCTCCATACCATGGTTCTGAGTGTGTGATTCCTTCCAGAATGGCCGTGTTTTCTTCCGCACTCTGCGAAGTTCCTGTTCTCTCTTCCCCCTGTGCAGACTCCACGAAAGAGCACACACATTTTGAAATTTGGATTTTATTAAGGCTGCCATTCCCTCCACAGGGCCAACAGGCTCCAGAGCAGGAAGGGGTCCCGGGGTGGAGGGTTGCTCCTGCTTCCCACTGAACCAACATTTAAGAAACCGGTTCTCCAGGTGCTGGAGTGGGAGCTGCTGGCTCAGAGAGGAGCGAAGGGCACACTCAGCCCCGGCGCGCTCGCTTTGCACGGCGGGAGGGGCGTTTTCAGGGTGAGCACAATGGGGCACAGCGGGGAAGTCTCCCGGTGCTTCCTGAGCGTGGTCAGCAGAGCAGATGCTGGACAAGATGAGTGGGAGAGAGTGGGGTCCCAGGCAGGGAGGGCGAGCACCCGGGCACCCATGGCGGAGAGCAGGGTCCCAGGCGGGGAGGGCAAGCACCCAGGCGCCCATGGGAGAGAGGTGAGGGAGGTTGGCAGGGGTTGGATTTTGGAGGGTCTAGCAGTGCACAGAGTCTGGCACATGTGGAAGACAGTGTGGAGCCACTGAATGGCTTCAAACCAGACTCCGCAGGCACTTGAGAAAGACCCCTGTGGACAGGCTGGGGCTGGACTGGGGAGCATGAAGTGGGAGGGAGGGGCATCGATGCCAGCCCACTGCAGTGGTGAGATGGGACCGGTGAAACCTGTTCAGGAGGCTGCATTGGATGGAGAGGGAGCCATGGGGGGCTGCGGAAGCGCCTAGAGTAGGGGTTTGACCCTGGCTGTGGAGCACAGAGGAGCACGAAGTAAAGAACCCACCAGGGTTAGGGCTGAGAGTTTGGTGAACTAGGGAGATTTGTGGAAGCAGGGAATAATGGTGGATGGTTGGTGGCCTCCTCCTGGAAGTTCACCATCACCCTCTGGAGACTTGTTGGGCACTTCCTCTGTGCCAGGCACTGTCCTGTGCATATTTCATTTCATTGGTGACAGATTGCATCTGTTGTTTTGGAAAACCATAGCACACCATGTGCTGCAAGATGCATCTCCATCTCAGAGCCATTAAAGTGTGTGTGTGTGTGTGTGTGTGTGTGTGTGTGTGTATCAATGAAATGTGCTTCTCTCATTTAACCCTGGGAGTGACCTGAGAGGGAGGCACTGTTGGCAGCCTGGTGGAGGCTGAAGCCATCCAAGGTGGGGCTGGAGCTGGGCTTGAGCTGGGGTGGAACATTTGGGTGGAACCATCTGGTAGGCTGGTGCTCAGGAGTGACAACAGGGCTGAAGACCTGGATCTGCAATCAAATCTGCAGCATCGAAGTGGTGCTGGGCAACGTTGCCCATGGAGGACAGACAGGCAGGGAGGCAGCCAAAGGCTGAGCCACGGGAGCAGAAGAAAATAGGGCAGAAGAAAACAGTGAGGGAGGTAGGAAGTGCAGAAAGTCAGGAGTGAATTACAACCAGGAGGGGCAAGGATGCTAATGTTAAAAGCTGCAGAAAGGTCAAGGGTTAGATCGGATCAAACTAAACTGACATTTTATGAGGGTCAAATACAGTGGGTCAAAATCAGCAAAGTCACTCAACATAAAAAGAGTAGGATGGAAGAGTCCACATGAAATTAATGCATAAAAGTGTCCCTTTCAGCATCACTGATAATAGTGAAAATTCTGAATTAATTTTTAATAATATGGAACTGATTAAGAAAGTGATGAACCCATTGAAGTGGTGTTCAAAAGTTTCAATGAGATGTAAAAAGTCTTAAGCCAGGATATAAGATCACATATAAGGTACAATTTTAATTATACTTAATACATATATGTGCACAAAAATATAACTCTATTATATATTTGGAAATGCAGAAAATATACAAAAATATACAAAATGCAGAAAATATACAAAAAGTATTCTCTCTGGGTGATGAAATGATAGTTAAATTTCTTCTTGGTATCCATAAATATGTATTATGTTATAATCAGGAACAATAAAAACATTATTTTTTAAACTTTAAAAGGAAACAATTCAATAAATTGAGCAACTGGGAAGTCACTGGTGACCTCATTTGATTGTTCAGTCATTCAACAAATATTTACTGAGTACCTACTATGTGCCGAGCATTGGCCTGGGCATTGAGTCTACAATGATAAACAAAAGAGACAAAGTCCCTGGAATCATAAGGCTTGAGATTCAGTGGGAAGACAGACAGTAGACAGGTCAACACACAAGTAAGTGACTGTGCTTTCTTTTACCGTGCTTAAATGATGACTTTGGCTGCTTGGATGACAACTGTGGTGCCCGTGGTAAAGGAAGACACAACGGTGGAGCCAGAACGAGCACAGAATGAGCGCCACACTGGTGGGCATCAGGACCTTCCTCTAGACCTTCCTTCCTCTAGACCATCAGGACCTTCCTCTCCATGTGACATTTAGGTGAAGGCTGAAAGCTGAGTAAGAGCTAGGCCTACACGAACACTCTAGATTTCTTTTCACATACCAGGAAGGGCCCCTGAGACACGGAGGAGAAAGGTGTTGTACTTGAGACATCGTTTTAACTGACACCTTTGTTATTATTCCAGGCAGACCTGTTCACTTTATTATCTGGTCTTCTATGAGACCACCTACTCGTGTTATTGTGCAAATTGATGTCATCCAATTAAGTCTTCTCTTTCTTTTACTGTGCTTAAATGATGACTTTGGCTACTTGAAGTTTCACTGGAGCAAATTAGCTGTGTTGGATGCGGACAGCGGGATGGTGCCCAGATGGCAGTGGCAAGCGAGCTCCTGTTTCACTGTGGTCCTCACGGCAGCAGAAAGGGAATGTTTCTCTATTATCCATTCTTTGTGGATTATCCTTGCTTGCTTTCTTCTCTTTTCTTTTCATGAGTAATCGGTAGCTGGCTTCATTTGTCTTCCTTCCTCCCTAAATTTTCATTTAGCCAAATTCTCCTCCAGGCTTTAAAAATCACCTTCTATATCCAAAAACCAAAGGGGTCCTATTTAATTCTCTGAGGGATGAGGCTGTCTTTGGTTGTGGACCTGCTTATTCATATTGGAGGCGGCAGGGAGAACTCGCATCTTGTGGTTTCTGGCAGCCCAAAGGAAGGGGTTCTTGTCCAGGCTTCTGTATAGAAAACTGGACACATAGCAAGGTTCCCAAAGTCGTCCCAGCCAGAGCCAAATCCTAGAGACATGGGCTGGGAGATTTGGCACATAGTCCAGAAAACCATGGATAGAATTCAGGCATCCATGAACCTGGATAGGAAAGCAATTGCGTCATATTTTCACCAGTTTTTAGCTGTAATTCAGCATTTTCTTCCATTATAATTGGAGGCAACAAACACGGTAACCTATGACTTTATCACCAAGAGAAACTTCAGATATTACAGTTGGTGCTTATTTTTGGAACATTATTCATACTTATCACTTAGGTGAATTTTGGTGGCTATAGGGCCTGCTGCAGGGTTCTGTTATTTAATATGGTAATAAATAAGCACATGAATTATTTTGTCATGGTTAAAGAATTATTTTGATAACGTGCTTCAATATAATTGGCTGCCTGTCAAATTGTGTGGATTTTATTCTATTCATTTAAGCACACTGCTTTCAGGAGTCTATGACGTCACCATTCTTCCAAAGCAGGTCGTGGCACGAAAAAGTTAAAGAAATCCGTATTTGAAATATGAAGAAGCTAATAGCAACAACGATATTGGCTGACTTTTATTGAGTGCTGAGCACTAAGCATTTGCATGTATTAACTCATTTCATTCTCATGACAAGCCTACAAGAAAGGCACAGGAGTTCCTATTTTATACATGGGGAAACCAAGGAGCAGAGAACCTGACAATTTGTCCAAGGTCACACAGCTAGAAGTCGTGAAGCCCAGGTCTAAAGCTGGGAGAGACGGCAGAGTGAGCTGAGGTCCCACCAAGAGCCTGGCTCACAGATCTTACCAGCTCCATGGAATGTTGAAACTGCCGAGTGACCCAAGGAGATGCATTGATTACAGATTCTTTACTTTCTGGATACAGCTTCTCCTTGCTTTCTGGCCAATGTCTTCTCTTAGAGGAAGAGCATGGGACATATTTTGGACCTGAGTTGTAGAGCCAAAATGGGATTAAAAGCCACCACATAGCCTCTCTAGGGAAAAAAATGGTGGTGGTGACAAAGTCTAGTTGGCTACATGAGAACATTTACAAGCAAAGAACAATGATCTAATCAGTTTTCCCTATAAGGCAGAGGTCCCCAACCCCCGGGCCATGGACCCATACCAGTCTGTGGCCTGTTAGGAACCAGGCCAAACAGCAGGAGGTGAGCAGCAGGCGAGGGAGCGAAGCTTCATCTGTATTCACAGCCACTCCCCATTGCTGGCATTACTGCCTGAGCTCCACCTCCTGTCAGATCAGCAGTGCCATTAGATTGTCATAGGAGTGTGAACCCTATTGTGAACTGCACGTTCGAGAGATCTAAGCTGCGTGTTCCTTATGAAAATCTAATGCCTGATGATCTGTCACTGTCTCCACACGATCCCTAGATGGGACCATCTAGTTGCAGGAAAACAAACTCAGGGCTCCCACTGATTCTACATGATGTTGAGTTGTATAATTACTTCATTCTATATTACAATGTAATATCAAGCTTCACAAGAACGGGACCCCTCCCCTCGCTGTCCATGCCGTATCCCAGTAGCGTCCTCAATGGTGGCAAATAAACCCCTAGATTGTTTGAGACCTGTCTAGATACTTTCTGGTTTGCGAGCCCTGAGGACTTTCTGTGTGCCCTGCATGGTGCTGCCCTTGCAGCGGCAGGGGAGCAGATGGGGCTCAGGCTGAGCTTGTGCCTTGCCCACACCAGGTGGATGCGGGGACACTGCTGCCATGCGGTGGTGATGCTTGGCAGCCTGTGCCAGGGCCACAGCTTCTTTCTTTTATCCCCTCAGGAATTGCACTGGGTCTGGGAGGGGTCCCTTTTTGTTGGCATTTCAATGCCTGTCCCTTTAAGGCAAGAACTCCTCCCTGATCCCATACAGGAGCATCCATACACATCCAGCTGACCAGAGAAGGCCAGAATCCAGTGACCCTGGTCCCTTGCCATTTGCAGTAGGTTTGGTGAATGGGCTGTGGGTCTTAGAAGCCCCCAAAAGCAGTGAGATTCTTCCTTGAGATACAGTTCACATACCATACAAGTCACTCATTTATCGTGTGCAGTTCAATGGGGAGACGCCCACAGTCCTCAACAGTCAGTTGAGAAGATTTTCATCACTTCCTTAGGGAGCCCTGGACCCTTTATCATCTTGCTACCCCTCCATACCCTTGCCTTAAGCAACCACTGATCTACTTTCTGTTTCTATAGATTTGTTTCATATACGTGGAATCGTCTAATATGTGGTCTTTTGTGACTGCCTTCTTTCACTTAGCATGTTTTCAAAGTTCATCCATGTTGTAGCCCGTGTCAATACTTTATTCCATTTCATAGCTGGGCAATATTCCATTATATGGTTAGGGTTAGGGTTCAAAGTCTCCGCTGTATGGTCCTAAGAAGAAACATTTATTTAAAAAAAGCTACTGGCCAGGAGCGGTGGCTCACGCCTGTAATCCCAGCACTTTGGGAGGCTGAGGTGGGCAGATCATCTGAGGTCAAGAGTTCAAGACCAGCCTGGCCAACATGGCGAAACCCTGTCTCTACTAAAGATACAAAAATTAGCCAGGTGTGGTGGCACGCGCCTGTAATCCCAGCTACTCGGGAGGCTGAGGCAGGAGAATCACTTGAACTGGGAGGTGGAGGTTGCAGTGAGCCGAGATTGTGCCACTGCACTCCAGCCTGGGCAACAAAGCAAGACTTTGTCTCAAAAAAAAAAAAAAAAAGGAAAAGAAAAAAAGCTACTGTAATTTGGCAAATGTCTCTGGCATTTGAGCTGAAACCTGCTCTTTCCCTGCTGTTCCCAGCTCGGCAATGCAGACTGCACTCCAGAGGCTGCAGCCAGGCACACAGGCTCTACTCCCCATAGCTTCTAGTCGAAGGGCCTCCTTCCTGGAAGAGGCAGGGCCTCAGCTTTTCTCCTCTTGTCCTCAACTGCCTGTTGCTGAGACTAAGTCCCAGGTGAGTGTGGCATTGTTCTGCCCAGCCCCTGTTTATGGAATGGAGGATCAGCCTAGAGCCTTGGAAATTGTGCTTCTAAGAATACAGGAGCCCGGATCCCCTTGGGCTGGTTCACAGGCATTGGTTCCAAGATGGGAGAGGCAAGCCCAGAAGACCTGTGTGTCCCCACAACATACACACAATGAAGCAAAGAGCCTGGGGTGTCACTCAGAGAGAAGATTGCCATTGTCTCCACTCCCAGCTCTTCCCAAAGGGACGAGCTGTTCTAAATGCTGTTTCACTTGCAACAGAATTTAGAGAAGTTCAACCCTCACTGAACATGAAAATAAAAGACATCCAAATTGGGAAAGAAGAAGCAAACTATTTCTATTCACAGATGATATGATCTTGCATATAGAAAATCTTAAGGAATGCACTAAAAAGCTGTAGAACTAATCCACAAGTTCAACAAGGTTGCAGAATATAAGATCAATACACAAAAATCAATTGTATATGTTTTCGTGTAGACATGTTTTCATTTCTCTTGGTTATATACTTGGGAGTGAAATTGGTTATATGGTAAATATATTTAATCCCCATATATTTATTAAAATATGTTTAATCACTTGAGGAACTTCTGGACTGTTTTCCCAAGTGGCTGCACCATTCCTCCCAGCCCTGGAGGGTTCCAATTTCCCCACATGGTCACCAACACTCCTTCTTATCTGTCATTTTGATTCCAGTCAATCTGATAGGCGTGAAGTGCTATCACGTTGTGGTTTCGATTTGCATTTCCTTGATGATGAATGATGCTAAGTATCTTTTCATGTGCTTATTAATCATCTGTATGTCTTCCTTGGAGAAATGTCTATTCAGATCTTCTGCCCATCTTTTAATGAGGTCATTGTCTTTATCACTGAACTGTGAGAGGTCTTCATGTATTCTAGATGCAAGTCCCTAATCGTATCTGATTTGCAAATATTTTCTCCCATTCTGTGGGTTTTTTTTACTTTCTTGATAGTGTCCTTTGATGCACAAAAGTTGTTAATTTTCATTAAGTCCAGTTTATGTATCTTCTTGTTTGTCATTCCTGCTTTTGGTGCCATATCTTAGACTCCATTGCCAAATCTGAAGTCACGATGATTTCCCACTGTTTTCTTCTAAGAGTTTTATGGTTTTAGTTCTTACATTTAGGCCTTTGATCCGTTTTTGATTAATTCTTCTATATGGTGTGAGGTGAGAGTCCAACTTCATTCTTTTGCATGTGGCGATAGAGTTGTCTCAGCATTTGTGGAAAGACTATTCTTTCCTCACTGAATGGTCTTGGCCCCTTTGTTGAAAATACATTGATTATAGACACATGGACTCCCATTGATTTATATGTCTATCTTAATGCCAGTGTAATACTATCTTGATTACTATAGCTTTCTTAGTAAGTTTGAAATAGGTGTGGAGTCCTAATTAGGAAAGAGGAGTCAAGCTGGTGGGACCAAGGGAAAGCAAAGAGATAAAGCAGGTAAGCGACAAGTCTGCCTTTCTTCATGGTCCAGAACACGCAGCCCTCCTGCGCAAACAGCTCACAATTTTCCTGTGCCGAGCTATTACCAGACACCTGCAAGTTAGCTCACTGTAGCTTTGGTGTTATTGGTACTGCACAAAGCCCTCTTCAGCATAAATGCCACCCTATAAAATCCCCAGCAAGCCTTGGTCTCCTCATAGTCAGCCTCTCTCCTGTGGGCTGCCCGCTGCCTCCTCGAAATGTATTTTCCTACTTTCTCTCATAAATCTGCCTTTCTTTACCTACAACTGTCTTGGTAAATTCATTACCCCCATGCCACTGGCTGAGATAGCCATTGCTCCCCAGCAACAATAAGGACACATGAGTCCTACTACTTTGATCTTCTTTTTCAGGATTGTTTTGACTAAAACAATCCATCAAATTTTAGAACCAGTGGGTCAATTTCTACAGAGAAGTTGGCTGGAGTTCTAATTGGGATTGTATTGAATTTGTAGATTGGGTTTGAGACAGCCAAATGCCCAGAATCTCTGCCCCATCTGACAAGTGTTTACACCAGATGCTTTTGTGCAGATGAGGGAACCTGCCCAGGGCCTTGTCTGCACATGCCCACATGCGCACTGGGGAAACGGGTGAAGCCACGGGCAGGGGAGGAGCCTGGCCTCTTCAGTTCCTGTGTGGTGGCCTGGGATTCCATTTGTGAGGTGGGAGCCTGTTAGCAGGACTCCATCTCACTTTGCTGAGTTTTCTTTTTCTTTTCTTTTTTTCCCTTGTCACCCAAGAAAATCCTGCTCTACTCACCCTTCAATGTGTTCGTGTGCCTAGATTTTCCTGGTCATGTGACAAGTACCCAGTTTCAGCTGAACTAAGGAGCAAAATTCTGCAATAGTTTGTATATTGCCATCTTAATATAGCAAGACTTCTGAATCCATACACGTGGGATATTTTTCCATTTATTTAGATCTTCAATTTTTGTGGATGACGGTTTGTAGTTTTTGGAGTATAAATTTTGTACTTCCTTTGTTTATTCCTAAGTACCTATTCTTTTGATACTTTTGAGTATGGAATTGTTTTCTTAGTTTCCTCTTCAGATTGCTCATTGCAAGTATATAAAAACACAATTGATTTTTGTGTATTGATCTTGTATTCTGCAACCTTGTTGAACTTGTGGATTAGTTCTACAGCTTTTTAGTGCATTCCTTAAGATTTTCTATATGCAAGATCATATCATCTGTGAATAGAAATAGTTTGCTTCTTCCTTCCCAATTTCGATGTCTTTTATTTTCATGTCCAGTGAGGCTTGCACTTTTCTAAATTCTGTTGCAAATTAAACCATCCCTTTGGGAAGAGAATGGGAGCTGTTACGAGGGTCTGCTTCTTCCTCTGGGCAAAATCTCAGAGCCCTGGAGCTCGGAGTGGGAACAATGGCGATCTTCTCTCTGAGTGACACCCCAGGCTCTGTGCTCCACTGTGTGTGTGTGTTGGAGGGACACACAGGTCTTCTCGGCGTGACTCTCCCAGCATGGAACCAATGCCTATGAACCAGACCAAGGGGATCTTGGCTCCTGTAGTCTTAGGATCACCATTCCCAAGGCTGCAGGCTAAGCATCCACTCCACAAACAGGAAATGGGCAGAACAAGAGCATCTCCAGCGTGGGGCCACACTCACCTGGGATTTAGTCTCAGCAACAGGCAACTGCAGACAAGATGAGAAAAGTAAGGCCCTGCCCCTTCCAGGAAGAAGGCCCTTCGACTAGGAGCTGTGGGGAGCAGAGCCCATGCACTTGGCTGCAGCTTCTGGTGTGCATCTGCATTGCTGAGCTGGAAGCAGTGGGGAGACAGCAGGTTTTAGCTCATATACCAGGGACATTTGCTGTTCTTGTCAAATTACAGTAGCTTTTCTTGAATATATGTTTCTTCTTAGGACCATACAGCAGAGACTCTAAATGACTGTGTTTTAACCATTTTCAAAAGTTTTGCTGGGGAGTGGGTTGAGAGAGCTCCTCATGCGGTCATTCTGGGGGTCTCTCATGTGGATCCCACTTGAAATCCATTTGTCATTGAGTTTTCAGTCTTGGGCAGAGGTATTCATCTCTGAATTTCTTTTTACATAAACTCTGATTGCAGCCTTATTTGTAATAGCCCAAAACTGGAAACCACCCAAATGCTCATCAACAGGTGAATGGATAAACACATTGTGATAGATCCGTACGATGGAACACTACTCAACGTTATGCTAACTGAAAGGCAGACAAAACGCAGATACTTGATGAACCTATACACATAAAATCCAGAAAGTGCAAAGGCACCCATAGGGAACCTTCGATGGGCAGAGGGTGGTGGGTAGGGGGACCGAAAGGCTCAGGGAAACCTGGGGAGTGATGAATATGTTTACTGTCTTGACTGGGGTGCTGGTGTCATGGGTGTATCATATGACAAACCTATCACATACACTTTGAATATGTGTTTACTGTATGCCAATCACATCTGAATAAAGACATGAAAAATGAAATCAGGAGTGAAAGTCCAATTGTTGGCTCTATAGTTTCTCTCATGTTGATTTGTGCTACTGGCTGACCAGCTAGCTAGATATGTTTATTCCATCAACCAACTGGTCTGCAGTGCTCCAGAAGCAGCTGAGACTCCCCTGAAAACGAACTGTTTCTCTCCAGCATTGTGCATTAACTCGGCAAGTGTCCTTTGTTAAAGAATGGAGTCAACTGAGACATGAAATAGCCAGTTATCAAGCCCCAAACTGATGCATTCTTGAGAAAAATGGTTGACTTTCCCATGGCTTCCCTTGAAGCCCTGGAAGCCCACAGTAAATCATCTCTGAGGCAGGTTTGCTCCAGTTGGGCCTTTGAACAAAGCCAGCACACAGGACCATGCAGGGCCCGCCTGAGCTTGGAGCAGCACCTTCCCAGTGGTGCACCCTGCTGGGCCTGCAATCTTCCTGTATCACACACCTCGAGGTACCTGAGGATCAATTATATTTTAATTTATTATGAAATCTGAAACTACTATAAGCTTCTTGGGGATAGGTACAGGCCAAAAGTCTTAAAAGGTTCAAGCACTTCCGGAACAAAAACCCCTTCATTAGAATTAACTATCACAATCACCATCAAAATCTTGCACTTACAGGGAAAGGGCCATGGTGTAACTATGAGGTTACTCTAGGATGTGTAAGATGCAGGGGGCAGAGGTTATTGACCTTAGACAAGAGAGGCTTTTAGGATTCACAGTCAAGCATTTATAAGGTGATTTTAAGGAGTATGAAAGCCTGCTGATATTCATTTTCACAGAGGGCAGAACTCCACTTCTGGGTGAAAAGTGAGGTTATGAAAGAGCAGTACCAGTATCCCAGGCTGGGACCCACACAGGATGCAGGGGTACATGATTTTCGGTGTTTTTTCCAGAAAGATGCTGGACCTAGTGGTCTGCTGACAGAGAAACAAAACCTTTTGCTGCTTTTGGTAACTTGACACCTTTGAGAACTGCATGAGCAGGGCTGGGGTACAGCCTGTGTTCCTCCGCCGCCGAACTGCAACCTTGGCCAAGTTCTGCCACCTCCCAGTGCCTCCGTTTCCTACTGTCCTGTGAGGTGCACAAGAGCCCGTACCACACGGGGTCCTGTGAGGGTTCTGAGTCAAGCGCTTAGCAGGTTCAGAGGAGTGTCTGGCACACGGGCAGCTCACAGCCGCTAACTGTGATTTAGTTGTGGGTTGCGGAAACAGCCTAGGAGTCTCAAGTAAAACTTGGAATCACAATCCGCCAAGGAAAAGGGCACTCCTCAGAGCTGTGGCTGTTTTCGGGAGAGGACAGAAACGCCTCGACTCCCACCCACGGGCAGCTCTTCTGCTCATCCCCAACCCCTTCCCAGCACTCGGGTTTGGTGCTGAGCCGGGTGGGATGGCAGGAGCCGCTCCCTTACCTCCTGTGCTTGGAGTTGTTTTTGCTGTCAGTCTGTCCCCTGGTCCTCATGACAGAGGCCACCTTCTCCAGGAGCAGGCGGTTGTCCCTCTCGATGACGGAGAGCCGTTCCTCCTCCAGCTGGGGACAGAGAAGGAGGCTGGAGGAGCGCCGGCAGATTGCGAGGCTCTTCCTCACGCCACGTTTCTGTGACTTGAGTGCCCTGGGAGTTTTACGCTGCCTCGTCTCATATCGGCGAGTGCGCCATCACGCCTCAGCGGGGACCGAACACACAGGGACCCACTGTCACGCCTCAGCAGGGACCGTACGCGAGGGGACGCCCTGTTACGCCTCAGCGGGGACCGTAAGCACGGGGACACGCCGTCACCCCTAAGCGGGGACCGAACACACAGGGACCCACTGTCACCCCTCATCGGGGACCGTAAGCACAGGGACGCGCCGTCACGCCTCATCGGGGACCGTAAGCACGGGGACGCGCCGTCACGCCTCATCGGGGACCGTAAGCACGGGGACGCGCCGTCACGCCTCATCGGGGACCGTAAGCACGGGGACGCGCCGTCACGCCTCATCGGGGACCGTAAGCACGGGGACGCGCCGTCACCCCTCATCGGGGACCGTACGCACGGGGACGCGCCGTCACGCCTCAGCGGGGACCGTACGCACGGGGACGCGCCGTCACCCCTCAGCGGGGACCGTACGCACGGGGACGCGCCGTCACCCCTCAGCGGGGACCGTACGCACGGGGACGCGCCGTCACGCCTCAGCGGGGACCGTAAGCACGGGGACGCGCCGTCACGCCTCGGCGGGGACCGTACGCACGGGGACGCGCCGTCACGCCTCAGCGGGGACCGTAAGCACGGGGACGCGCCGTCACGCCTCGGCGGGGACCGTACACACGGGGACGCGCCGTCACGCCTCAGTGGGGACCGTACCCACGGGGACGCGCCGTCACGCCTCGGCGGGGACCGTACCCACGGGGAAGCGCCGTCACGCCTCAGTGGGGACCGTACCCACGGGGACGCGCCGTCACGCCTCGGCGGGGACCGTACCCACGGGGACGCGCCGTCACGCCTCGGCGGGGACCGTACCCACGGGGACGCGCCGTCACGCCTCAGTGGGGACCGTACCCACGGGGACGCGCCGTCACGCCTCGGCGGGGACCGTACCCACGGGGAAGCGCCGTCACGCCTCAGTGGGGACCGTACCCACGGGGACGCGCCGTCACGCCTCGGCGGGGACCGTACACACGGGGACGCGCCGTCACGCCTCGGCGGGGACCGTACACACGGGGACGCGCCGTCACGCCTCAGTGGGGACCGTACCCACGGGGACGCGCCGTCACGCCTCAGCGGGGACCGTACACACGGGGACGCGCCGTCACGCCTCAGCGGGGACCGTACCCACGGGGACGCGCCGTCACCCCTCGGCGGGGACCGTACACACGGGGACGCGCTGTCACGCCTCAGTGGGGACCGTACCCACGGGGACGCGCCATCACACCTCAGCGGGGACCGTACACACGGGGACGCGCCGTCACCCCTCGGTGGGGACCGTACACACGGGGACGCGCCGTCACCCCTCAGCGGGGACCGTACACACGGGGACGCGCTGTCACGCCTCAGCGGGGACCGTACACACGGGGACCCACTGTCACGCCTCAGCAGGGACCGTAAGCACGGGGACGCGCCGTCACCCCTCAGCGGGGACTGTACACACGGGGACGCGCCGTCACCCCTCAGCGGGGACCGTACGCACGGGGACCCACTGTCACGCCTCAGCGGGGACCGTAAACACGGGGACGCGCCGTCACCCCTCAGCGGGGACCACCAGCTGCTTTGCCCATGGATTGGAACGCATTGGGTGGAGTAAGTGAGAGTAACACTGAGGCGAGGCACTATCTTGTAAAATTAGGTGACCCTCCAAAAGTAACATGTGGCGGTGGTGCTAATGAGGAAATCTTTTTTATATTTTAAGAAAGATAGAGATATTTTATTCAGTTATAAGAAGAGAATATTTGAGCCCAGAGGAAAAGAATCTGCCTCTTGTTTTAGGCTTCCAAGTGGTCGGTCTGCAGATATGCTGGAGACTGGTTACTCGGCTTCAGTTCAGCCCATTTTAACACCACTGCTTAACAGGCTCATATAAAGCCCACAGCCTTTTGTCCTGGAGGCATTACTTCGAGATAACCATGCAATTCTCAATCACCAAATGAGGTAAACTTCACGAGGTCAGGAGATCAGACCATCCTGGCCAACATGGTGAAACCCTGTGTCTACTAAAATACAAAAAATTAGCCGGGCGTGGTGGTGCGGGCCTGTAGTCCCAGGTACTGGAGAGGCTGAGGCAGGGGAATCGCTTGAACCCGGGAGGCGGAGGTTGCAGTGAGCCGAGATCGTGCCACTGCACACCAGCCAGGCAACAGAGCGAGACTCCGTCTAAAAAACAAAATAAAAAAAGAAAAGAAAAAAGAAATAAACAACACCTGTAATCCCAGCATTTCAGGAGGCCGAGGCGGGCAGATCACCTGAAGTCAGGAGTTTGAGACCAGCCTGGCCAACATGGTGAAACCCCATCACTACTAAAAACACGAAAATTAGCAGGGCTTGATGGTGGGTGCGCCTGTAATCCCAGCTACTCGGCAGGCTGAGGCAGGAGAATCACTTGCACCTGGGAGGCAGAGGCTGCAGTGAGCTGAAGTTGTATCACTGGACTCCAGCCTGGGCGACACAGTGAGACTCTATCTCAAAAACAAACAAACCCAAAACCCAACATTCTGAGGTGGTTAAGAAATGGTTTACTGTAAGGGAATGATGCTAGTTATTCTGGAACTGCACTGAATAAATTGTCACTGTGAATCCACTTCCCTTCCCCCCAAGACATGATGGGTCATGTAAACCACAAATAAAATTCTAAGCCCCCTCCACAACTCCCAGCCAACTGAACAGACCCCTCCTCTTGGCCAAGGGCATTCCTAAGTTAACCTGACAAACTAGTTCAGGCCATGATGGGAAGTGGGGTTGGACATGCCTCATTATGCCCTGCTCCCAATGGAATTTAGGCACAACTGACCAGCATTAAGGTTAAAACAGAGACCTTAAAACTGACAAAAAGACTCTTTGTAGCAATAAGATACCAACATGATAGATAGCAGGTGTTTAAAAAATATATAACTATTTTACCCCAAAATATATTTATTTGACATATTTCAAAATGGCCCTGCAAAGCTGTCTCTTGTGGGGAAAATCTACATTCTGTAGAGAATCTCCTTCCCTTTCCAGGTCTTTTTCCTGATCCAGGAGAGAATTTACTTAGTCTGGCACCTTTTTAACTCTGATGAGCAATATTTACAGTCTATTTCCCCTGAAGCCTGCTACCTGGAGGCTTCATCTGCATGATAAGAATTTCGGTCTCCACAACCCCTTGTCTTAACCTAGACACTCCCTTCTATTGATTCCAGGTCTTTAGATAAATTCTTTCAACCAATTGGCAGTCAGGAAATCTTTGAATCCACCTGTGACCTGGAAGTACCCCTGCTCCCACTCCAAGTTGTCCTGCCTTTCTGGACGAAACCAATGTACACCTTACACGTATTGATTGACGTCTCAAGTCTCCCTAAAATGTATAAAACCAAGCTGTATCTTGACCACCTTGGGAACATGTTTTCAAGGACTTCCTGGGGCTGTGTCACGGGCAGATCCTTAAACTTGGCAAAATAAACTTCTAAATTGATTGAGACCTGTCTCAGATAATTTTTGGTTTATAGTCAGCACAACGACTGGGGAAAGATTTCTGCTCCAATTATCAACCAGCTCCCTCACGGACAGACGGGGCTAATTAATCACCTAGACTGCATTTTGTCTTCGGTGAGTTTATTCCTTACTAACCCTGCCTTTTCTATTTTCCTGGGCTTTTAAGCTGGCATTTTCTAGTTAGCTATTACATT